>NC_000007.14:49028120-49331151 GCF_000001405.40 Homo sapiens
TCTGGGAACATATGTTTCTATACTTGTTTCTGTATCTGTATTTCCCTCTGTCTCTCTCCCTTTGTCTCTCTTTCTCTCTTCTCTTTTTGTCTCTCCCTGGGATTGCATGTGTGTGGGTTTATATTTAGCTATTTCTCCATAGTGAAAATGAACTATGTAATAAAAAACACTTGGCCGGGCGCGGTGGCTCACGCCTGTAATCCCAGCACTTTGGGAGGCCGAGGCGGGCGGATCACGAGGTCAGGAGATTGAGACCATCCTGGCTAACACGGTGAAACCCCGTCTCTACTAAAAATACAAAAAATTAGCCGGGCGTGGTAGCGGGCGCCTGTAGTCCCAGCTACTCGGGAGGCTGAGGCAGGAGAATGGCGTGAACCTGGGAGGCGGAGCTTGCAGTGAGCCGAGATCGCGCCACTGCACTCCAGCCTGGGCGACAGAGCGAGACTCCGTCTCAAAAAAAAAAAAAAAAAAAAAAAAAAAAACACTTGGCTTGTTTTATTTAACAAAAATTACAAACATTTTATTAGGTTGTTTTTTCTGTAAAACAGAATCTTAGACAAAGACTTATGTGTGTTACTTAATTAGGAAATGTAATCTCAGAAAGCAAGAGAGAGGGATGGGAGAACAAAACAGGCCATGAGAAGGAATTCATGAAATTAAGAGTTATTGTTGATTGTCATATGAGTGACTGATGGCTTTAATCCCTTTGCATTATCTGAAAAGGCTATGAAAGGCATCTCGTGACTATTCGTCGCAAAAGAGGATAAATGGCTTGTGTACTGTCTCCCATCTCCACCTCATAACTGCCCCACATTTCAAGTTCATGCATACACAGACTCAGAGAGAATTTCCATAGCTTCCCATGCCTTGGTGTCAATCAAGAAGCCATAGATAATGTGGCAGAATCCACATGGCACAGGCAGAGGTCAGGATGAAGCTGACTGATGCCCACACAGAGCAGCAGTGGTGGGAATAAAGGCAAGTGAGACTGAGACTCTCAAATGGTGCAGAAGAGTTATCTGACACAGTTCACACCTTGGTCATTCAGATCTGCTCCTGCCCTCCGTTTGAGCTGTTTTATTCACAATACTTCTGACACCAAATGTGTGATTTTTTTTCCCTTATATCCACCAGTTTTCAAACTCTCTGGACACCAAATGTGTGTCCTACAAATTAATTCAATTCTGACATAAACTATCCAAAGTTGGTGTCAGGCTTCATAGGTTTAGGGGCTCAGTCCCACAAAACTGACCTCCCTTCAGATGCCAGTGGCAGGTATAGGGTCCCCAGATTACCCATTCTTCTGTCTAACTTGGCTACAGTGTTGGAGGATTCCCTCCATACTCTTTCAAGTTTGATAATTTGATAGAATGGCTTATAAAACTCCAGAAAAGTTTACTCACTATTACTTTTTATAATAAAAGATATAACTCAGGAGCAGCCAAATAGAAAAGATGCATAGAGCAAGGAATTGGAGCAGGGTTGCAAAGACCGAACATATTTCTAATCATTCCACAGCTTGTATCCAACTCCCATACTAATTTATTGGGCCTCATCTGTGATAACAAGATGCTCTTACTCTTCTGAGATACGAGTGCAATCCACTGCAGAGTCCAGTTTGAGGTGGTAGTCAGCCACAATCTCTGCAAATACTCAATGCAAACAGGTAAATGAAACAAGCTACAGTCCCTGCTGCTAAACCTGTTCTTGCACCCTACATGTCATTTATTGTATCCTTCCTAAAATATCCATTTTATATTTCACTCAACCTTGGCTAGTAATTTAGCCAACGTGGCTCATCTTGAGATACAGCATTAATTGGATTCCTGGGGGAGCTTTTTGTTTTGAGCCTGTTCTAATATATTAGGTTGGTGCAAAAGTAATTGCAGTGTTTGCCATTAAAAGCGACAGCAAAACCGCAATTACTTTTGCACCAACCTAATACCATTCACTGTTATAACTCAGGAAAAAACACAAAGAGACATCCCAGGAGGTGCACGGCTTCCTGACATACTTTCCTGGACATTAATCAGGATAGCTTACCCTCACAAATACCAGAGGGCACCTTTATCCACTATGGATACCTCTAGCACAATCAGATAGGATAAGCTACATAACATAGCTATGTATCATACATGATATATATGATATATGATAAGCTATATATCATATAGATATATAATAGCTTAGATATCATCATAGCTTATCATATCTAAGCTTGCCCTGAGGCAAGCAGCTTGGATCAGGGTCTGACATTGGTGCAAAATTATCTCCTGCGCTGGGTCTCACTCAAAAGTGAAAGCCTGGTGAGTCATCCAGGGCAGGTTTCAGGGATTTATTCTCAAGTGTCATATATTCTGCCTCTAAAATACAAAGATACCTAGTGCTGTGCCTCTTTCTTAATAAAGAGTATGAGGTGGCATGCCACAGAATATTGCATGTTAAAAAACTTCTCACCAATAACTGGTCAGTAAATGTGTTTGGTGTGCGTATGTTTTTTCTCTCTCACATTGTAGGATGCATGTGTCACACTAGGTTATTAATGGTACTCACCACCTCCTGCTCACCATTTCCCATTAGTATAATGCCATTAGTACAGTGCACAAACATGAAGCTTTACAGAACATCGGGAAAACAAGGTTCTTAAAGATCGTATTTTGTCAGACTTCTGACAGTTAATACAGTCCCGAAGTAAGACAGTGAAAGTGTACTACTGAGTCCCTCGTGTAAAGGCAAACTGCTTTTGATCGACCCTACTAATATGGACCAATAACTAAACATTCACAGATCAGTGGCTACAGAGTGAATGCCAGCAGCTGTATGGATCATTTTCAGTAAAGAACCATATTGGCACGATAGCTATAATTGGAAATACCAACACCATTTGGTTATATTAACAATAATCCACCTTCTTCTGATACAATTTCCCCAGTTTTAGCAGAAGCCACAAAGGTAAAACGGAGTGAGATATTATGCTAAGCACCGATACTGCATCCTTTAAGTCAGAGGTTGGCAAACTTTCTAGGACTAGATCATAACTGTAGGCTTTATAGGTCTTAAGGTCTCTGTCTCAATTTTTCAACTCTGCAGCATATGCATAGACTAATGACTGTGGCCATATTCCAGTAAAATTTTGTTTCCAAAAAGAGGCAGTGGACCAAATTTGGCCCATGGGACATTGTTTGCCAAATCCTGTTTTAGGTCTACAATCACGGCACTAACTTTTACAATCAGTCTTGAAATACAATATAGCTACTGATTTTCTCTCTGTGCTGGATGAATGTGAGTAGCTTCAGGTACTTCCATTTAGCCTTTTTCTACTGGGTTGACAGCATCCTTCCAAAATTTATGTCCACCTGGAATTTCAGAATGTGACCTTACATGGAAATAGTGTCTGCAGATGTCATTACTAAAGTTAAGATGAGGTTATACTGGATTAAGGTGAGCCCTAATCCAAGATTGGTGTCCCTATAAGAATAAAAATGGAGACAGACAGAGACACACACGCAGAAGACCACGTGATGATGAAGGCAGAGTTGGAGTGATATATCTACAAGGATTGTTAGCAGCTACCAGAAGCCAGGAGAGAGGCATAGGATAGATTTTTCTTCAGAGCCTCCAGGACAAATCAACCCTAGTAACACTCTAATTTCAGACTTTTGGCCTCAACTACTGTGAGAGAATAAATTTCTGTTGTTTCAAGCCACCCAGTTTGTGTAATTTGCTACAACCACCCCAGGAAACTAACACATATTTCCATTTTTATAGCTCTGATTAGAGGGGTCAGGATCACAATTTGAAGATACTTTCCACTGTTAAGTAATTAATTATACACCCAGGGACAAGATATTGACCAACTGGTGGGTCTGCAGTTATTTCATCTATCACTTTATCACATGGCCTCCATGATTTCCTACCCTAGCCATATGACTATGAAGGTTTGCTTGCATTAATGTTAGCTCAAACCCCATATCCACCAGTCCTTAAAAAGCCTAATCAGTCTGTTTTATTCAGGTATTGTTAGCTTGGAAAGAGTCATGATCCTTTTTAGAAGTACAGGGAGAATATTTATTTCAAATATTTGCAATGATTTTGCAGGATCTTTTGACAAAGAAACATAGATGTCCTTTTATTTATGGACTCTGGCTCTGACTTACTCCTGAAAACTGATAGGAAGGAAATTATTTCCTATTGTAAAGGGTAACATAAGCTTTCTGATCACAATATTTTGATTATTTTATCCACATTCAGCAAAAACCTATTTTTCATCTATATCGTCTCATCAAGCTCCATAATTCCTTAGCCATTGACATTTCCCAGCATATCAAGTACACTGGCTACATCCTATTATAGTAACCAGATCAGTTTTGGCTATTAATATTGGTTTATTCCTTTTTGTTGCTGATTCGTATTTTTTAGAATGATTCTATGAGAAGTTAATAAAAACATTTTTCTGTGGAAGGTAGTTGGGTTGTATCTGTTACTTTTTATTCGTACAAATTAGGCAGCTATGAACTTTTATGTAAATCTTTTGTATAGAAACGTGCTTTCATTTTCTTTTGGTCAGAGGCACTACCTGAGATGGAGATAGGTGGATTATATGGTAGATATCTGTTTGACATTTTTTGAAACTAGCAAAATTTTATGAATAGGTTTTTCATTTTACAATCACACTAGCAGTGTATGTGGCTTCTTGATCCTCCACGAACAATGTTTTTAAATTTCAGCTGTTCTTGTAGGTCTTTAGTGGTATCTCATTTCATTTTTTTTTGAATTTTTCTAATGACTACTGATGTTGAGAATTTTTTCATATACTTTTTTGCTACCCATTTATATTCTTTGGCAAATTGATAAAATCTTTTGCCAATATTTATTGGAGTATTTACTTTTTTGAATTTGGAGAGTTTTTATATATCTAGGCTAAAAATACCTTGTTAGAATATGATTTGTAGAGGATTATTTTTTCAATCTGTGTCTTGACTTAATTATCTTAATAGTGTTTTCCACAAAAAATTAAAGTTTGATAAAGTCTACTTTATCAACTATTTTGTAACAATTATAGATTATGCTTTGAGGTTGTATCTAAACATCTTTTCGTAACTTGGGGTTATAAATATTTTCTTCTATTTTTTCTTTTTCTTTTCTTTTTTTTTTTTTTTTTTTGAGATGGAGCCTTGCTCTTTCTCCAGGCTGGAATGGCTGGAATGCAGTGGTGTGATCTTGGCTCACTTCAACTTCCATCTCTCGGGTTCAAGTTTTTCCTGTCTCAGCCTCCTGAGTAGCTGGGACTACAGGCATGTGCCACCACACCTGGCTAATTTTTGTATTTTTAGTAAAAATGGGGTTTCACCATGTTGGCCAGGCTGGTCTTGAACTCCTGAACTCAGGTGATCCACTGGCCTCAGCCTCCCAAAGTGCTGGGATTACAGGTGTGAGCCACTGTGCCCAGCCTCTTCTATTTTTTCTTCTAGCAATTTTATAGTTCCACATTTTATACTTTGTTTTTGATTAATTTTATATTAACTTTCATACATAATCTGAGACATGTATTGAAGTTGGGTTTTTCTTTTCGACATATAGACATTTGTTTTTCATATGTTGATAAGACTATTTTTTCTTCCTTGAATCACTTTTTCATGTAAGTGAAAAATCAGTTATGTATATATATATATATTTGGTCTCTGTATTGGCTATTCTGTTCTATTGATCTGTTTACATGTCATTAGACTAATACCACACTCTCTTGATTACTGTAGCTTTACAGTGGGTCTCAAATAGGATAACATTAGTATTCCTTCCTTGTTTATCTTACCAATATTTGGATATTCTAGATCAGCAGTCCCCCAACTTTTTGGCACCAGGGACTTGTTTAGTGGAAGACAATATTTCCTTGGAAAAGGAGGTTGGGGAGGATGGTTTAGGCATGAAACTGTTCTACCTTAGATGATCAGGCATTAGATTCTCAGAAGGAGTACGCGACCTAGATGCCTCGCATATGCGGTTCACAGTAGGGTTTGTGCTCCTATGAGAATCTAATACTGCTGCTGATCTGATGGGAGGCAGAGCTCAGGCAGGAATGCTCGCTCACCTGCCACTCACCTCCTGTGCGGGTCAGTTTCTAACAGGCCACAGACTGGCTGGGGACCCTTTTTCTAGAAAACTTACATTTTCATATGAGTTTTAAAATTTGTTTGTCAATATGTATAATAATGTTTGCCGAAATTTTCATTGGGAGTCTGTTGAACCTGTAGGACAAATTAAGGCAACACAATTTAATTCTAGCAATACTGAGCATGTTATATCTATTTTTTTAATCTCCCTTTAGTAATTCCTCTCAGAAATTCTTTGTATTTTTAACTATATTCATCACATTCTATGTCAGATGTATTTCTAAGTAATTATTTCAATGACATTGTGTATAATATTGCTATTTTACATTTTTTCTGATTTTTCGTTGCTACTGTAAAGAAATTTAATTTATTTTTGCATATTTATTTTTTATTCTGAAAGTATCTGAAGTCACTTACTTGATATAAGACTTCAGTCATTTGTTATGTGGTCTTTTACAAAAGCTCCTTGAATATCCTTGTAATATGGTAGCTGGCTTCCCCAAAGAGTGAGTGATTCAAGAGAGAAAAAGAACTCACCCAAGATAGAAATCACAGTCTTCCTATACATAAATATCAGAAATGACACCCCATACTATCTGGTGTATTCCACTCACTAGAAACCTATTACTAAACACAAACCATACTCAAGGTGAAGAATACTTAGGTCTGTCTTTTGAGTTAAGAAATACTATAAAATGTGTGGATATATATTTTTTAAACCACCAGGTATATTAATGAAAATCATTTTTTTTCTGGTTTATTTGTTATTCAGCCCTGTTTATTTGTACCCTTTCTACATTAAAAGTTGCTATTTTTTCTGGAACCAAATGATTATTTCTTGTCATCTCTGCTTGTATGCTGTATAAAGAATGACCTTACAGAATATTCTATTTTGTCATTTCTATTTGTAATATTGCTTTACTATTTTGAACACAAAATATTCAATTATTTTGTTAATCTTGAAATCAGCATGACACATCAGGTCTTCTGGTTATAAAATATTAGTGGATAAATATTGGTACAATAATGTTATAAATGCATTAGATAAAATTATATGAAGGAATAATGAGATAACTTTAAGATGTATATAATGCAATTATTATTAATTTAGTACATGGTAGAAAATAGAAAATGTAAAAGTTACATTTAGATACACTTATGTTAATAAGAAAAACTTTATTAAGGGCCGCTGAAGACTAGAAAAATATATACAAATATAATCTCAATCTCTCCATATGTATATACACCCACACATGTATGCACATATATACAAGTGAATATTCATGCACCTAAATAGAGATTATCATAAAGTGAAACTTGCAAAAATTTGCCACAATATATTAGCAATGACCATCTCTACTTAGGAAACTTGTAAATAATAGGTGATTGTTTTTCTTTATAAATGTGTTTATTTTTATTTTTTTTTAAATGTCCGTGCATGATTTGTGAATTGAAAACCTTTGGAGAAGAAAGAGAAATGTTTTATTTCAAATAGTGGGGCAACTAGAAGAAAATGGAGAGGACAGAAAGCTCAGCTCTACCTCTTTCCTCCACAGTGATCTTTAGAGTGTTTTAATTCTGTGAAGGAGGTCAAAGCACATCCTCTGAGGGCAGGTGAAGGAGGTAAATGGAATGCTGGGGGTGAAGGCACTTCATGCAGTCCCTAGAATTTATCAAGGCCTCAACAATTGTTGGTTGTATTAGAATTTGAGCTGCAGGGTTTAAACTTTAAACACTATTCCTCCCACCTTCATTACAAATTGATCGCCAAGGACATTCTGTTTTGTTTTTCTTCTTTATTTTATTATTATTTTTAAGCAGGCATTTCCACAATTGAACTACTTTGCCTCGTTTTCAGTACTTGTACACTAACCCAGGCCCCCTTCCACATGCTCAGTGATGATTAGTAAAATGCAATATGGGACAGCATGCATTGAGATAATGTATCTAATCCCTTTGGGCCCTAGTGGAAGATGGGGAATGTTAGTCTCCTCGGCTTCTGTTTTCTCCTGGAGGAAGGGCATTGGTCATTTCTCAGATTATTTCATATGAATGCACACATTTTTACAGCTGAGCTATCTTGCTGTTGTCAGGATAATGTCTGGACAACTGTCACCTTCTCTCCTTTGGAAGCTGAAACCCTATGTTTCTTTAAGGACTACTATATGTATTCTCCCCTGGAAAGAGCTTCTTACATTACTCCAAAACAAAATGCTCACATTTCTTCTGGCTATATTCAGCATTTACAATCACAGTGTGAGCAGGGCAGCATTTCCCCATCCATGATTGTTGTTGTGGCAGATAATGTACTGACATATTTATATTGTATTTATTTATTTATTTTTATTTACTTTTACAGACAGGATCTTGCTCTGTAGCCCAGGCTGGAGTGCAATAGCCTCATCTTGGCTCACTGAAGCCTTGAACTCCTGGGTTCAAGCAATTCTCCTACCTCAGCCTCCAGAGTATCGAGTGCTATAGGTACACACCACCATGCCTGGCTAATTTTTTATTTTTTTTTTTGCAGAGACGGGGTCTCATTTTGTTGCCCGAAATAATCTCAAACTCCTGGTTTCAAGTGATCCTCCCACTTCAGTCTCCCAAAGTGCTGGGATTACAGGTGTGAGCTACTGAGCCTGGCCTTATTTTCATTTTTATTGTTACTGTTTTTTAATCCCTTTCTCTATACTCCAGTTCAGGCAGGGAGACTCTATGCCATTTCTTTCCCTATATGTTACAGCAGGAAAGCGTAGAAAAGATGTTTCTAGACACAGAAGAACTTGGAAAATAAAAAATAATTTAATAAAAGCACATATTGAATAAGGCTAATGCTTTGCACATCCTAAATTGCGTGTGAATCCTTATGGCTTTTGATCTCTGAGAAAGAGAGAGCTATGCCCTGCTTCCAGTGAGAGGACTAGGACAGCAGTACAGCCATCAGAACAAGGCTGTGTCCTCACACTCAATAATAGAGCAGAGAGTTGATAAAACTCCAGAATAGAAAGGGTGGCTGTAAAGTGTGTTTATGCAGGTGGACCTGACGTGGCCTCCCAATTTTCTGCAGTCCAAGAACAGTAAGATGATGTTTTCTATCCCATTATGACAATGCAGTAAATGATCAGAAACATTAGACAGAAGCCTGAAGGGTTAGAATGTGTGCAATGCAATGACTTGTGTGCACCAACAAATGAGAAATAGGTGGAATTTTGCAAATCTCAGCATCAGTGGAGTAGAAAAATTATCCAGAAGATCCTCTTCCCCAGTGTGTTGATACCATGCTAGTCACTTCGAACTCAGATGCAACCAAGAGGGCCAGTGGATGGCAGGAGCTTTTATCATACAAAAGAATGGGGAATTGAAATGGAAATTAAGTTGAACTCTAGATAACCAGAGAAAGTTAAACTTTTCCAAATGAGTTTGTGTGCTGAGATTTCTACTGCTATAAAATATAAGGTGCTTGTTTAATTTGGTAAGATAAGGAGAAAGCACTTAAGGTTTATCTGGGCTTAAGGAAAATTAATGTGGTAAGAGTCAAAGAATCACTAGATGGGAATTACTAAAACATTCAACCATGGCTGGGCTGTAAGGAGTGAGATGCAATAAATTCACCCTGAGGAAGGAGGAGAGCCAAGCAAGATTACTCATCTGAGAGTTTTGACTCTGATATAAGCAACTTTTTGACCACATGTTGCTATTTGATCTGCAGGCTTTTCACGTGTAAAATTAATTTAAACAAAAACTAATCATTTCTAAGGACCTACCAATGTCTTGGAATGTAGACCAGTGATTTTCAAAGCAGTTCCAGCAGCACCAACTGGCTACTTGTAAAAATGCAAATCCTATCTACTGAATCAGAAACTCAGAATGGGGCCCTACACTTAGCCTTTTAATAAGCCCTGCAGGTGATTCTGATACACATTAATGTTAACAACTATTGGTCTAGATACTGAAAGCTAACTTCTAGCAGTTGCTGTGAATGAAATGTTATGATAAAGGAATATTACACTTTTACAGCACAAAAAAATTGACTATGATATAATTACATGCAGACATGGATACTAAAAAATTTTCAGTAACTGGGGAGGAGGCAGAGCAAGAGAGCAGAAGAGAAAGCCCCACCAATTGTACACCACTCCTCTCAACTGGAAGGAAACCAAGTTAACAATTACTTAGATAAAAAAGTACCTTCATAAGGACCAAAAATCAGGTGAACACTCATAGTACCTGGTTTCAACTTCATATTGCTGAAAGAGGCACTGAAGAGATAGAAAAAACAGCTCTAAGTTGCCAAGGCCACCCCTCCCTGACCCTGGCAGAAACAGCTTGGTGCTGAGCATTAGGGGAGGGAGAACACAGCAATTGTGAAGCATTGAGCTCAGTGCTGTTCTGTTACAGCAGAAAGGAAAACCAAACCAAACTCAACTGATGCTTGCCCATAGAGGGAGCATTTAAACCAGCCCTAAACAGAGGGGAATGACTGGTCCCAGCAGTCCACAGTTGAGTCCTGCAAACCTCCACCAAGGGCTATAGCTCTCTGTGTCTACAAGTAAACTTGAGAGACAGTATAGGTCATAAGGACTGCAACTCTTAAGCAAGTCCTAGTGCTGAACTAGGCCCAGTGACAGTGGACTGGGGGTGCATGTGACATATTGAGACACAAGTGGCAGTGGCCAAGTGAGTCCTGGCTCACCCCTTCCCTAACTGCAGGCTGCACAGCTCATGGCTCCAAAAGAGACCTCTTCCCTCTGCTTGAGTGGAGGAGAAGGAAGAATGTGGAGAATTTTATCTTGCATCTAGGATACCAGCTCAGCTACACCAAGATAGAGCACTGGTCAGAGTCATGAGGTCCCCATTCCAGGCCCTGGTTCCCAGATGACATTTCTAGACATACCTTGAGCCAGAAGGGAACCTGATGCCTTGAAGGACAGGACCCAGTCTTAGCAGCATTCATCATCTGCTAAATAAAGAGCTGTTGGGCCCTGAATAACCAGAAATGTTACCCAGGTCAAAGGCCTTGGTGATCCTTTGAAACTTGCTGGCTTCAGGCGAGACTCAGCACATTACCAGCTGTGGTGGCTCTGGGTCAAAATGCCTTCTGCTTGAGAAAAGTAGAGGGAGAGATTTTGTCTTGCGGCTTAGGTACCAGCATGGCCAAAGGCAGGTAGAACACCAAGCTTGACCAAGCAGGTCAAGAAATGCCATCCAGGACCTCACTCTTAGATAGCAATTCTGGACCTGCCCTTGGCCAGAGGGAAGTCCACTGCCCTGAAATGTGAGTCCCAGGCCAGTCAGCATTCATGACAAGCTGAAATAAGAGACCTTGGATTTTAAGAGAACATCAGTGGTAGTATGGCAGTACCCCTCATGGCCTGGGGTGGTGGTGGCTACAAGGTAAGGATCCTATGCCTTTGGAAAGGGAAAGGAAGGACTGTGTCTTGTGGTTTGAGTGCCAGCTCAGCCACAATACAATAGAACACCAATTAGATTTCGAGGGTTTTTGACTCTAGTCCCTGACTCCCTACCAACCCAGAGACCGGGGGACCTTGCACCCTGAAGGGAAAGACACAGGCTTGGCTGGCTTTGCCACCTGCTGATTTCAGAGCTCCAGGGCCTTGAGTGAACACAGGCAGTAACCAAGGAGTGGTTACAGCAGGCCTTGGGTGAGAACCAGTGTTGTGCTGGTTTCAGGGCCAGGACTCAGGTCTGTGCTGGCTTCATAGTAGTGTTGGTCCCAGGAATGCTTGTGTCACTCTTTCCCTAGCTCCAAGTGGTTCAGAACAGAGAGTGAGAGAGACTATGTATGTTTGGAAGAAAGTAAGAGAAGAGAACAAGAGTCTCTGCTTAGAAATCCAGAGAATTCTCCCGGAATATGTCCAAGATTATCAAGGTGGTACTTCTATAAGTCTACAAGATCCACAGCATTACTGGGCTTAGGGTGCCCCTAAAGCAGATACAGCTAGAACACATAGATTACTTTTGCACTAACCTATAGCTGTGCTGAGGAAATTCAAAGATATTCAAGATAACACAGAGAAGGAATTCAGAATTCTATCAGACGAATTTAACAAAGATATTGACATAAATTAAAAAGAATTAAGTAGACATTTTAGGCCTAAAAGGTGCAGTTGACATACTGAAGAATGCATCAGAGTCCTTTAATAGGAGAACTGATCAAACAGAAGAAACAATTAGTGAGCTTAAAGACAGTCTATTTGAAAATGCACAGTCAGAGGAGACAAAAGAAATAAGAATAAAAACAATGAAATATGCTTACAAGATCTACCAAATTGCCTCAAAAGGACAAATCTAAGAGTTATCAGACTTAAAGGGGAGGTAGAGGAAGAGATAGGGGTAGAAATTTTATTCAAAGAACAATAACAGGGAACTTCTCAAACCTAGAGAAATATATCAATATCCAAGTACAAGAAGGTTATACTACACCAAGTAAATTTAACCCAAACAAGACTGCCTCAAGGGATTTAATAATCAAAGTATGAAAGGTCTAGAATAAAGAAAGGATCCTAAAAACAACTAGAGAGAAAAAAAAAACAACACAAAACAAATAACATACAATACATGTGGCAGCAGACTTTTCTGTGGAAACCTTATGGGCCAAAAGAGACTGGCAAGACAAATTTAAGTGCTGAGGAAAAAAAAATAAAAAACAAAACAATAACAACAAAAAAGTTGTGCTATAGAATAGTATATCTAGCAAAAATATCCTTCAAACATGAAGGAGAAATAAAGACCTTCCCAGACAAACAGAAGCTGAGGGATTCCATCAATACTAGATCTGTCCTACAAGAAATGTTAAAAGGAGTACATTTATAGTGAAGGACCTTAATGAGCAATAAATAATCACCTGAAGGTACAAAACTCATTGATTATAATAAGTAGACAGAAAAACACAGCATATTGTAACACTGTAACTGTGGTGTGTAAACTACTCTTATCTTAAGTAGAAAGACTGAACGATGAACCAGTCAAAAATAATAGCTACAACTTTTCTAGAAATAATCAGAACAATAAGATACAACTTTTCTAGAAATAATCAGAACAATAAGATACAACTTTTCTAGAAATAATCAGAACAATAAGATATAAATAGAAACAACAAAAAGTTAAAAACTGGGGGACACAGATAAAGTGTAGAGTTCATATTCATTTTATTTTTGCTTGTTTGTTTATGCAAATAGCTGTAAGTGGTTATTGGGTTTACATAATAGTTTATAAGAGAGTAGTTAAAGTAACAGTTTATAAGGAGTATTTGCAGCCTCACGGTAACCTCAAGCCAAAAAACATACAATGGATACACAAAAAATAAAAAACAAGAAGTTAAATCATATCATCAGAGAAAATCACCTTTACCAGGGAAAGACAGGAATGAAAGAAAGAATGAAGAGAAGATCATAAAACAACCAGAACACAAATAACAAAATGGCAGGAGTAAGTACCTATCAATAATAGCATTAAATGTAAATTGACTTACCTCTCCAATCAAAAGACATAGACTGTGTGAATAAATGAAAAAAACAAGACCCATTCATCTGTTGCCTACAAGAAACATACTTCACCTACAAAGACACACATCAACTGAAAATGAAAGGATGTAAAAAGATATTTCATGCCAATGAAAGCCAAAAAAAAAAAAAAAAAACCCAGCAGAAATAGCTATACTTATAGAAGACAAAATAGATATCAAGACAAAAACTATTAGAAGAGACAAAGTCAATTAGTATATAATGATAAAGGGGTCAATTCAACAAGAAGATATAACAATTATAAATACACGTGCACTCAATGCTGGAGCAGTACCCAGGTATGTAAAAGAAATATTGTTAGCGCTAAAGAGAGATAGAGCCCCCAGTGCAATACTAGCTGGAGACTTCAACATCCCCTTTCTGAATTGGACTGATCTTCTAGACAGAATATCAACAAAGGAACATTGGACTTAATCTGTAATATAGAAGAAATGGATCTGATAGATATTTACAGAACATTTCATCCAATGTCTGCACAATAAACACTCTTCTCAGCACATGAATCATTCTATAGGATAGGCTATAAGTTACATCCCAAAGCAAGTCTTAAAAAATTCAAAAAATTAAAATAATATCAAGCATCTTCTCTCACCACAATGGAATAACATTCAAAATTAATAACGAGGAATTTTAGAAACTGTACAAATACATGGAAATGAAACAAAATACTCCTGAATGACCAGTGGGTCAATGACAAAATTAAGAAGAAACAAAAATGTCTTGAAACAAATGATAATGGAAACACAACATACAAAAATCTATGGGACACAACAAAAGCAGTAATAAGAGGGAAGCACCTACATTAAAGAAGAGGAAAATCTTCCAATGAACAATTGAATGATGTACCTTAAAGAACTAGAAAAGCAAAGCAAGAGAAAACCAAACCCACAATTAGTAGAAGAAAAGACATAATAAAGATCCAGAGAATCAAATAAATGAAATTGAAATTTAAAAAATACAAGCGATCAAAGAAACAAAAAGTTGGTTTTTTGAGAAGTTAAACAAAACTGACAATCCTTTAGCCAGGCTAAGAAAAAAAGAGGGAAGATCCAAATAAATAAATTCAGAAATAAAAAAGGAGACATTACAACTGTTACTGATGAAATTCAAATGATCATTAGCGGCTACTACGAACAACTATACACCAAAAAAATTTGTAACATCTAGAAAAAATAAAGAAATTCCTAGAGACGTACAGCCTATCAAGATCAAACCAAGAAGAAATCCAAAACCTTAATAGACCAGTAAAAAGCAACAAGATTGAAACTGTAATAGAAAGTCTCCCAGTAAAGAAAAGCCTGAGAGCTGATAGCTTCACTGCTGAACTCTGCCAAACATTTAAAGAAGAACTAATAACAATCGTACTCAAAAACTATTTCAAAATGTGGGGGATGGAATACTTCCAAACTCATTCTACAAGGCCAGTATTATCTTGATCCAAAAACCAGACAAAGATACATCAAAAAAAGGAAACTACATGCCAACAACTCTGATGAATCCTCAACAAAATACTAGCAAACTGAATTGAACAACATATTAGAAAGATCATTAAACATGACCAAGTGGGATTTATCCCTGAGATACAAGGATGGCTCAACATACACAAATCAATCAATGTAATGCATCATATCAACAGAATGGAGGATAAAAACCATATGATCATTTCAATTGATGCTGAAAAATCATCTGATAAAATTCATTATCCCTTCATGATAAAAACAAAAAACAGGATAGAAGGAACATACATCAACATAATAAATATGCAATGTAAGTATGTGACAGACCTACAGCTAGTATCATATTAGATGGAAAAAAAAAATTGACAGCTTTTCTTCTAAGAACTGAAACACTAGAAAGATGCCAACTGTCACCACTGTTATTCAACATAGTACTGGAAGTCCTAACTAGAGCAATCACAAGAGAAAGATATAAAGGGCATCCAAATTGGAATGGAAGAAGTAAAATTATTCCTGTTTGCTGATGATGTAATTTTACATTTGGGAAAACCTAAAGACTCCACAAGACAACTATTAGAATTTATAAACAAATACAGTAAAGTTGCAGAATACAAAATCAACATACAAAAATTAGCAGCATTTCTATATGCCAACCGTAAATGATATAAAAAAAATTTTAAAGTAGTCCCATTTACAATAGCCATACCTAAAATTACATATCTTAGAATTAACCAAACAAGTGAAAGATGTCTACAATGAAAATTATAAAACACTGATGAAGGAAATTGAAGGGGACACTAAAAAATAGAAAATATTCCATATTCATGGACTGGAAGGATCAGTATTTCTACAATGTCTATACTACCCAAAGCAATCTACAGATACAATTCAATCAGTATCAAAATACCATGACATTCTTCACAGAAATAGAGAAAACAATTCTAAAATTTATATGGAACCACAAAAGACTCAGAATAGCCAAATCTATCCTAAGCAAAAACAATGAAAATCACATTACCCAACTTCAAATTATACTACATAGCTGTAGTATCCAAAACAGCATGGCACTGGCATAAACAAAGACACATAGAAAAATGGAACAGAATAAAGAATTCAGAAACAAATCCACTCACCTATTGTGAACTCATTTTTGACAAAGTTGCCAAGAACATACACTGAGGAAAAGATATTTTCCAAGGTCACATACCTTTTAAGTGGTAGACTTAAAATTAGAGCAATATTTCGAAGAAGTTACACAAAACTATAGGAGCCTATCTTAGGAATTATCTAGCTCTATATTGAGAGCAGGGGTAAGAGTCAGATCATCTGGATGGAATCTCAAGGCACTTTTAAAAGCTGTGTAACAATGGGAAATTGCCATACCCTTATTAGGGCTTAGTTTTCTCATCCATGAAATGGGACTACTAAAAGCTCCATCTCACAATAGAATTAAATAAGCTGACATACATAAAGGCCTTAGGCACAGAGAAAATTATACACAAATGTTTACAATAGTTGTGACCTACTTCTTCTTTACAAAGGAGGTATTGGATGTCCCCAAGAGGGAAGGAGCTTGCATATAATTACTCAAAAAATTAACTTAGGAACTTGAACCTGATCCTATTTGCAGCAGAAAAAGCAAAAAATAATAAGTCTCTAACCAATGTAGAAGAAAATTAGAAGGATTCTTGAATTATGTAGGAAACTGTCTCCCACAATAGACTTGAAGTCGGCTGGGATGAGGGAGAGAGAGGGATGGGCATGGATAGCATCCAGGTTTGGAGCTTGGTTAACCACAAGAAATTGGATCAGAAATACAGAATGAATTATTTCAAGTTTATGAGCCATAGGATGAGTTCAGTTTGGCATTTGTTGGTTTTGAGATGCCCATGAAATATCCCAGAGGGTTTGTCTAATACTTGCTTACACATGGGCCTGATTGTTCATGGTTGGGCGTAGGATTGGAAGACAGCAGTATAATGCTGGTAACTGCAGCCTTGCCTGTGGGAGAGAGAGAATACAGAGTGGTAAAAGAGCCAGACTGGAACTTAGGGTGAGGCAAAAAGGATGAAAGTTTGAACAGGACAAAGACAGTGCTAGTGTTGGAATCCTACCTCTAACATCAAGCTATGTCATGGGGATGCTACTTACCTTGTCAATGCCTTAGTTTTTTCATTTGGAATAACCAGAATGTAACTGTCACAAGGATTTACTCTGAAAATTAAAGAAGATTATAAACATAAATCTCTAGGTATATGGCCTGGAACCTTGTAAGTACATAGTTTATGGTAGCAATCATCAGAGGATGAGAACTGAAAAATAACAACATTTTGGAATCCAAGAAAGGAGGACATTTGTTTATTGCAGCAATAGTCACAATAATGAGGCTATGTGCCCATCAGTGGATGATCAGATAAATAAAACATGGTATATATCAATAATGAAACAGTATTCAGCCATTACAATGAATGAAAAATTGTCTTTTGTAGCAATATGGATGGAACTGGTAGCCATTATTTTAAGTGAAACAACTCAGAAACATAAAGACAAACACCACATGTCTCCACTTGAAAGCAGGAGCTAAATTATGTGTACACATGGACATAGAGAATGGAATGATAGACACTGGAGATTTGGAAGAGTTGGAGGGAGGGAAGTGAAGAATGAGAAATTACTAAATGTGTACAATTTTCAACATTCGGGCAATGATTATATTAAAAGCCCAAATTTCACCACTACGCAATATATGCATGTAACAAAACTGCACTTGTACCTCCTAAATCTTTAAAAATAAAATCAAGACAGAAGGAAGATTGAGTCTCAAATGAGATAATAGGCTAAGCATATCATTTTAGTTTGTTAAATAAATGTGTTAAATGTATTTGGGAAGCAAGTTTTCAGTGCATTAGTAGTAATATAGGGTGAGCAGATGAAAAAGTGGTAGACAGAAGATGACAAACTGATTATTCAGTTATCTAAGCTATAAAGGAAATGAGATAGAGGTCAATTGGTAAAGAATATGGGGTCCTTATAAATCTCTTTTATTGTATATTTGTCATACACGTGTTCAAAGAGAAAAGAGTCAGCAGAAGGAGTGAGATTGAAGATATTGATGATAATAAATGATGAATGCAGAGTCAGATGCAACTCTAGTTGAGGGACTGATGCAGATATAAATTTTTACATGGCATTGGATATGTATATATGCTGGAGATATGAATATAAATGCAATTATATCTCTAAGTAAAAAATCAGATAGCAGAAATTCTCAGATAATGAGATAATGACAAGTACTTCAGAAGTATAATTGGATCAGATATATAAGAAGCTTAAAGAGGTTTTGAAAAATAATAGAGCAATTGGAAAGTGCTTCCTAGGATACTTATTAAAGTAATTAATGATTAAAATGTAAATCTCAGATTGCCTCTGGCTTAGATAGAACGTAGATTGAAATATCTTTACCCTTAAAAAGTAATTCCAGAAAGTATCAGGGTTCAAAAAGAATAACTGAGTGCTTAAATTGTAATATAACCAAACTATCTGCTGAAAAATATATAACTATTCATACACACCCAGGAGTTGAGTCCAAAAGTTCTTCTGTAAGCAAACTCTTTGGAAAGTAGATACAACTTTCCAATTTAAATGTATCTATAGATATACATGTACGACGAATTAGTAAATGAAAAATGTAAATTATATATGTAAATGTAAATTCAGAGAAATAACAGCTCAATATAACTGGGGTGCAAAATGTTAGGGTTTGAGCTGTAGCAATCAAGTTATATTTTCATAGGCACATGTAATGGATATTCTAGGAAGAGATTCTGACTCAGGAATAGGAAGTCTCAAGATTTTCCAGATATAAATTAGCCATACTTAATAGTTGAAACCAATTATGGCCTGTCCTGATATCGGCACAACTCTGTTCATAACTGGAGAGTTGTTATCTAAGATTTTGATGGAAAGGTGGGTTTCTGGGTCTTCATCACCAATATGATGGAAAATGAAAAGAAGGGAAGAACTGCAACAAGTCCAAATAAGGAACACACTGGAGACAATGATTACATTGGGCTCATCCTAATAATCTAGGATTATCCCCTCTTCAAGACTCTTAATTTAATCATATGAGCAAAGTCTATCTTATAAAGTAAGATAAAATATTCCCAGGCTTGGGCATTAACATATGGTCATCTTTGGCAGAGCCTTCATTATTCTGTCTACCACCATTCTTTACTTATATTATCATTATTCAGAAGGACTATAATTCATGTTCAGGAAAAATAAGTTATATATTCTATATGCAAAATTTATAATTTGCAGAGAAAGAACCAGAGCCTTAGTCCATCTCCAATCCCAAGTCTTTCCATTAAACTGTAGTATCCCTATTCACAGTTTTTAGGAGTATTTAATGCTATCATCAAATAGATCTAACCACTAAAAGGAAAAAAAATACATGCAATAAGTCACCCTTCCAGCCAGAAGAAAAGTTTGAATTGGCCAAACCAGAAGGAAAAAAATGTCAACCAATTAACCAACGCAAAGAATAAGATGAGTTTTTCTAAACAGATAACAAGCCAAGAAAGTACGCACATAATTTTCATGAAAAGAAAAGAGGTATTATCAGTAAAATAAATTCTTTAGTTCAAATTGGTTCCATACATTTCTGAAGGTAGATAATACCAGTCTTAAACTATAAAGTTCTCTAGTGCCATTTTTCACTTTATAAATGGAATCTATCTGAGATTATTTTATTTTGAGGGTGGTTTCCCATAGCTTTGTACTTTTTGAAATTCCTGAGCACAAACAGTTCATGTGTTAAAACTTATTTTCCTCAGTGAAATTGGTCTGAATCTCATTACAGAGGCAAAGCTTCAGTAAGAAGTTTCTGTAGTCATGGATAACCTGTGCACCTTGGAGCTGCCCAGACCAAATTGGCTGCAAATGAGTGCAGAAAACATTCTCACAATGTGTTTCTTCATTTGAAAATCTGCCAAAAGTTTTCCATTTGGATTATATATAATACAATCAAAAGCAAATGCTTCCTGGTAAAATAGATACCTAAACCAATATGACTACAACAAGAAGCTTTTAGAAGAGAACACACATGCTTTCAAATAATTTGTAAATTAAAAAATATTTAATCATGTTCTTTTATCGGTATAAATGCCTTTTTCTCTAAACTTTCATAGTACTTCTACCTTCCCCCCAACAAAACACCTCGAACTGGCCTGTATACTCAGTCCTGTGCCACCCTGTTTGATATTCACGTTTCAGCTAATAAAACAAAATGATGAGACACCTCTTTCTTTTAACTTGTTAAGAAATATAGCTCTCATTTTGATTTTATACAAATTATTCAATATTCATGGCAGAAAAGACTGTATAATACACACTTATATTTATATGAAATTCTAGAATACATAAAACAAACAAGATAAAACTAATCAGATAGTGTCAGTGTCCAGGATATGTCAGGGTGAGGATACCTGCAAAAGACTAGGGGGAAACTTTTGGGGAGTTGGAATTGCTCTATATCCTGGATGTGAATGGTAGTTGCATTGTTCTGTGCATTTATCCAAACTATTACATTTTATTTTATTTATTTATTAAGATGGAGTCTTGCTCCTGTTGCCCAGGCTGGAGTGCAATGGCACAATCTCGGCTCACTGCAACCTCTACCTCCTGGGTTCAAGTGATTCTCCTGCCCTCAGCCTCCAAAGTAGCTGGTATTACAGGTGTCTGCCACAATGCCCAGCTAATTTTTTTTGTATTTTCAGTAGAGATGGGGTTTCACTGTGTTGGCAAGGCTGGTCTTTAACTCCTTATCTGAGGTGATCTGCCCACCTCGGTCTCCCAAAGTACTGGGATTACAGGCGTGAGCCACCACGCCTGGCCGAATTTTAAATTGGCAAATTTTGTTTTATGTAACTAGCAAAAAAAAAAAAAAAAATGCAAAGGGTGACAATAAAGCACCTCAACAGTCTGTCAGTTTTAGAATGTCCCCAGTTGCTGGCTAGACCAGGGAGCCTGGTCTGGCCTCCCATGGAGGAGCTCAAAAGGGTTTCAGTTTTCAGCCAAACAGGCTGTCTTTAGTCAGAACGTGAGTGCAAGTGGATTTTTAATGCCAAAAGTGGAAAATGAAACCAGGGTATGAGTGGATCAAAGTGGCTGAGGGTAAGGAAAGAAAATAATTTATAAAGAGCATAGGCATCTAAGCCACATATGAGGAACCATAAATGCCATACTTTGCTTCTGTACACCCTAAGTCCAAGTGGACCCAGATTCTGGGATTTGGATTGCTGTTGTATCCTTTACCTAGAACCAAAATTTGTCCATATTTGGGACATGCCTAGGTCTTCAGGCAAGCTGAGGAACACCAGTACTGAGGAACTGGTCAGAGTTCACTTTTCTGACATGTCTTAGTCCATGCCTACTTGCAACCCAGGTAGCTCCCAATATTTCATTTTGCCCTGGGTTGATTGTGAATCACAGAAAAGATGTGAGGTGCAGAGGAATTTGAGAAGGTGTAATCCTATTGTCCTTGGCTACCCTCCTTCTACCTTGCCATTCAGAGCAAGGCCTTTGAAAATATAAGCTTTTCTTTTAGAGTTTCCTCTCTCTTCTAACAATTAGTGATGTTGCTAATGATATTCTTTGGATGGGTCGCATTAGAGTAATAAATAATAGAGGACAATGATGGAGGCAATGATTGAGGGGTAATGAAGGAAGGACCCTTCAGCTTGGGAGTTCAGAGGGTCTTTTTTGTGTAAGTAACTATTGTCTTTATTATTGAATTATGAGGAATTAGCCACAAGAAGCTCTGGTAAGGGAACATTTTAAGCACAAGAGACAGAAGAAGTGCACAGGGATTGAAACAGAGACCAACATGAAAAGGTTGATGGACAGGATTATTTTCCAATACTATTGCAACACATTGAGCTGAAGGAACAGTTCAGAAAAAGAGCTCATTAGAGCTAAGGTGGATCAGCCCAGGCAGCCCTGGGGTCCACGGCAAATAATTTGGATTTTATTACATTCATGACAGGGGCGCATTAATATATTTTAAACAGGTGAGTAAAATTAATTGCTTTAATTTTAAAAAGTAACTTTGGTTATTTTAGAAATAAACCACAAGTGGGCTCGATTAGAAGCGTGTGGATCAATTAGACGGCGACGTGAATAATCTAGTCAAAGGCTAATGTGCTGGGGATGAGGGAGATAGCAATGGATTCCAAAAAGACAATCAAATCCAGGATACATTTAATCTTGATGTGGGCCCAGTCTGTAGGGCTGTCATGACTCCATAGATGATAAGAAGCTGTAAACACAGAGCTGTGTTTCCTCTACAAAGAATGTTTGCTGTTTTGTTTTGTTTTCTGCTTCCAGCTCTCAAAAGCTCTACTCACTCTTTCAAGGAGCATCTCAGATACCTCTCTTTGGAGCAGGAGCGTCTCACTCTCTGGGCAGAATCTTTCAGTCCTCCTTTCATGCTACCGCATCACTCTTTCTGCCCATGTAATGGGGCATGTTTTACTTTATTTGTACACATATGTATACTTTCTACAAGAACAAAAACTGTCTCCTTTGCTACTTAAAAACTTCCATTTCTTCATGTTAGGGTCTTCTGCCAATTCTATGTATGTGGTGTGGCATTTGGGGCTCTCAGTGGGCACACAGGCAATTAAATACCAAACCACATTATAATTAAAGCTTTCAAAAATTTCCCCAAACACTTACTTAATACATATTTATTGTACAACTATTATTTGCCAGGCAATGTATCAGACCTTACTTGTAATTAATTTTCTGGCAGTTATAATGGAGAAAATACTGGCTGGAATCCTAAGATCTTCACAGTTGACTTCCCTGAATATACAAAGGAGCTCCTATTACCTCACCAGAGGATTGTGGAAAACATTGAATATGTTAATACAAGCAAAATGCCTATTGAATTCTAAAGTCACATAAATGTCAAGGATTATTGTAGATAATCAAAAGTCAAATTCAAAAGAAGACATACAAATGGTCAAAAAGCATATGAAAACAATACTCAACATCATTAATGTCAAAGAAATGTAAATTAATACTTCAATGAGATACCATCTTCTACCAGTCAGAATGGCTATTATTAAAAGCTTAAAAAATAGCAGATGTTGGTGAGGATGTAGAAAAAAGGGGATGCTTATACACTGTTTGTTGGGATGTAAATTAGTATAACCTCTATGGAAAACAGTGTGAAGATTTTTCAAATACCTAAAAACAAAACTACCATTCAATCCAACAATCCCACTACTAGGTATCTATGCAAAGGAAAAGAAATCGTTATATCAAAAAGATACCTCCACTCATGTGTATTGTAGCACTTATTCACAATAGTAAAGATATAGACTCAAGCTAAATTCTCATTGATGGATAATGGGATAAAGAAAATGTGGTATGTATATATATATCATGGAATACTACTCAGCCATTAAAAAATAAAATCATGTCTTGTGCAACATAGATGGAACTGGAGGTCATCCATGAATTATTAGGTGAAATAACTCAGAAAGTCAAATACTGTACTGCTTTTTATTATTGGAAGCTAAATAATGTGCACACATGGACATACAGTGTGGAAAAATTGACATTGGAGACTAGGAAGAGTAGGAGAGGAATGAGGAATGATAAATAACCTAACAGATACAGTGTACACTATTGGGATGATGTTTACACTAAAAGGTCAGACTTCACCACTATGAAATATATATAACATGTTACAAAACTGCACTTGTGCCCTCTAAATTTATACAAATAAAAAATGTTTTGTTGAAGTGCAATTGTGCCCATACAGCCCTCTCTCCAAAATCTATATCTGGCATTTATGTTTATTCCTGCTCTGATGCTACGTGAGTGGCCTCAGGCAAGTTCTCTCATTTTTCTATACCTTTTCTCTCCTGATCTCTAAATTGGGTATTTATTAGCACTATTTTATTGGATTATAAAAATTAAAAGAGTTAATAAATATAAAGGGCTTGAATAATGCATGCCATAGTTTACCACATTATGTATCTGTAATATTATTTGTATTACTATAATTAGATAATATACTCAGGGCAGAAATACTTTACATGAAGGACTCAAGAAACAAGAGAGAATGAATGAAATACTCCAAATCATCCTTTTCCTTGAGTTTATAATTCAAGGAAAGTTTAGTCTAAACTTTACAGAAAGTTTATTCTGAACACATAAAGAATTACATAATTGGTTTCAGGGCAATTCTAAGGTAAAATTTAAAGATTTAAACATGAAACTTGAAGGAACATTAAAAGTGAATCATATCCTCTTGCTTATATATTTATTTATTCATTATTTATTTTTATCTTTTAGAAATGTAGATTCTTTGCCTGAGAAAATTCACTGTATTAGTAGTTTAAAATGACACTGGGTCAAGCTGTATTTGAGACCTTGAGCTTAAGAAATTTGCCTTCCCAGTTGAAAATTCAAATTATTCAATTGTCGTTAGAACACTTTTATGGGAACTGACTTTTTCATGAAAATTTCTGTAATTACTGAATCTCATTCACTGGAATATTCCTTGCAATTAAAATTGTTTTATAAAAGTGTTTGTGTTCTTTGGGGCTTCAACACTGACACTTCCAGATGTGTCACTTCCACCATTTATTGAATGAGTAAAACAACAGCTTATCAAGAGAAAAGTGAACCTTAAAACTTGCAATATTTCACAGTCTCCAAAATAATTGCAGTGCTTTTCTGTGCAGATAGGCAATTGACCTCATAAATTGTTAACAGGATGAAAATTACAGATATTTTAAGATTCTCTCCAACAAGTATCTTCAAATGAGTGTGGATTATTCAGATTGTTATTCATCAGTTTGTTTCACTGCATTTTTTACCATTAAATGCAACGGTATTTCTTTCTTTTTTTATTAGAAAAAGGAAGAAAATATTAGAATTTCTTTGTGTGTGCCCTGCTAATTAGAAACAGACAGATAATGAGGACCTTGTCTACTGCAATATTCTTCAACATGAAAATGATGTGTAGAGGAAGTGCACTCCTGAAGTAAAACTATCTTAGCCTTCTGGTTCCCAGGAGTCATGGCTCTGGAAGTTCCTTTCCTCTAGCATGGAGGTCTGAGTATAAACACTCTATGGGGAGAAGGGTATCCTTACTATATACCACAGTAATGCTTCGATACTTTTACATGGGGTGGGGTCACTAAACAGAAGCATTTCAGGTCATTGGTTTTACACTCAGACAGTTCAGGGGATTAAAATGCTGGTTTTCGTGACTACATTTATGGCTTCCAGCCAATTTCTTAAACTTTTTTGAGTTTATTCTACTCAACTGCAAAATGAAAAACAAAGAAGTGTTACATGCTTCATAGAATGATGGTGATGATTAAATTGTAGAAAGTCCTGGCTCAGTACTGAGCACATAACAATAATAATTACTAATGTTCACTGAGGAAATATGTACCAGAAGCCATTTTAATCCTTTATATATATATTATGTGGTTTAAGCTTTTCAACAACTGTATCTAGTAGGTACTGTTTGCTCCTCCAGCATGCATTTCTCCGCTCTTCCACTTCCAAAACTATCTGAATTTGTTCCAATTCTTCTTCTGTGTCAGAAGAAGATGATCCCTTCCCAGCTCCAGGAATAGAGGATGGTTCAAGAAGCGAATTGTGGAAGCCCTACTAACTTGCTAAGGATGCATTTAGGCAAGAGGCTGTGATTAAACTCCGACCACTGGCGATTCAGTTGTCCCAGTGGGTAGGCATCTACATGTGCCTTCTGAGAAACAATTTCTCACTGTTCATGAGTTGCAGGATGGTGTGATCTATTTCCTTCCTCTGGATTCTGATAGGTCTGGATGTAATATCACGGGATGGCTGCCTTCCTGAGTCAGAGGAGGAAGACTACACAGAGGAGGGCAGAGCCAAGAAAATAGAGCACTGGAGCCAGGCTGATTACCATACTGGGAACTTGCCTTTCCCCAGGCTCTGTGTGATGAGAGAAACCATTTTATTATTGATTGAGACAATCTCAGCAATAAAAATATTCCACTGAAAATCTATCTTTTATATGAAAAGACTAAGTTCTGGGTAAATTAAATATTTTTCTTAAGTTCATACACCAGCATAAGAATCCTGAGAGTCTACTTTCACACCCGTGTGCTTAACTACTATGATCTATTGCCTCCCAGTGATTGAGTTTGGTTAACGGAAAAGGTAATTTTTATTTTATTCTCCACCATCGTCAGCATCTTCCTTAGTTAATTCTTTCTAATATTTCTTTCTTTCCCAGTACTTGCTTCGTTTTCCCCATTTATGGCTGTGTCGCTTTCGCCATAGCATGCACCACCACCGACTCACTTTCCATGTCCTAGAATGAGCAAATGCTGGTCTCCAGCAGTTATGGGTAAAAAACCTAGGTGGAGTATTCATTGCCTATAAGGCATTTATTTCATATTTATTAACCTTGATTTTCTTATCTTCAAGTTTGAAGTGGTTATAACTACTGAGTAAGTACTGGAAGGATGGCCACAAGAGAAGGTATATAAATCACCCAGCACAGTTGCTGAGCAGTTTCCCCTGTCCTGGCTCCCTAATGTTGGTAGCTGTACTCCTCATGTTTCCCCATGTACTCCTCATGTTTCCCCATGTCATCCACTCTGGTCTGACAAGAGAATCCCTATACTTTGTTCTTCAGCTTAAACATCCCCTTTAATTCCTTGCTCCTGTAATTAATTTTCTGCCTTGGTCATTGCTAGAATTTTTTTTGATTTTCACTTTCCTTTTCTTTTCATCAGTCTCTAAAAGGCTTAAATCTCTTTTTGCTGAAACCAATTTATGGAAAAACCTCAATGTTGAGAAATCTCCAAGAGTCTGTCAATTTTCTTCCTTGGATTTCAGATTAATGAATGTTTTTTTACCCATTATTATACCTTAGGCCTTTCTTGCTGTATATTTTAATTTCACTAAAGTCCCTGGTATAATGTAGTATGTGGAATATATAAATATTTATAAAGATATTTATTAAAATGGCCTGCAATGTCGAAGACAATAGGAGGTTTTGATCCCCTCACACTATTTATGTATCTGTATGTAGAGGTATCATATAGCCAGTTGTTCAACTTCCACCACTATAATTATCACTCCAATCAGATTCTATAACGTTATCACTACCTCCAATATATAATATACTCAGTTTGGCTGAAATAAAAAATCATTTTTTTCTGAATTTTGAAGCTTTTTAATTAGTCTCTATCATTTATTTTCTGTTGTCTCTTTTTAAAAATGAATTCCACCTTTTTCAATTTTTTCTTTTTAATTGATGTCTATTTTGGGGGCACATGTGATAATTCAGTACATTAGTATAATGTGCAAAGATTAAATCAGAATAATGGAAAGTCTATCACCTTAAATATTTATATTTTCTTTATGCTAGGAACATTTGAATTATTCTCATCTAGCTCTTTTGAAATGCATGATAGGTTATTGTTAAAGATAGTTACCTACCGATCTGTCAAACACAAAGTCTCATTTCTTTCACTACCTATATATTTGTACATATTAGTCAGCCAGTCTTTAACCTCCACTTCTCCCTACCTTTTATAGCCTCTGGTAACTACCAATCTATTCTTTGTTTTCATGAGATCCACTTTTTAGCTCCCACATATGAGTGAAAACATGTGATATTTGTCTTTCTGTGCTTGGTTTATTTCACTTAAAATAATAACTTCTAGTTTCATCCATGTCGTTGTAAATAACAAGTTTTCACTCTTTTTATGACTAACATTCCATTTTATACATATACCTTTTTTAACCCATTCATACATTGATGGGCTTTTAGCTTGATTTCACATGTTGGCTATTGTGAATATTGTTGCAATATTGCAATAAACATGAGACTGCAGCAGCTATCTCTTTGATATATTGATTTTTTTTCTTTTGTGTATATATCAAGCAGTGATATTGCTAAATCATATAGTATTTCTAGTTGTA
Source organism: Homo sapiens (assembly GCF_000001405.40). Taxonomy (NCBI): domain Eukaryota; kingdom Metazoa; phylum Chordata; class Mammalia; order Primates; family Hominidae; genus Homo; species Homo sapiens. The sequence continues at coordinate 49,056,240 of NC_000007.14, forward strand.
GTTTTTTGAGAAATCTCCATAGAGTTTTCTATAGTGTCTGTACTAATTTACATTTTTACCAACAGTGTTCTAGGGTTCCCCTTTCTTCATATCTATGGCAGCATTTGTTATTCCCTTTTTGAAATAAGCCATTTTAACTGGAGTGAGATGATATCTCATTGTAGCTTTGAATTGCATCTCTGATGATTACTGATGTTGAGCATTTTTTATATACCTGTTGGCCATTTGCATATCTTCTGTTGAGAAATGTCTATTCAGATCTTTTGCCTAGTTTAAAATCAGTTCATTTATCTTTTTGCTACTGAGTTGTTTGTGGACGTTATATATTCTGGCTATTAATCCTTTGTCATATAAATAGTTTGCAAGATTTTATCCCATTCTATGAGTTGTCTCTTCACTTTGTTGAATGTTTCCATTGCTGTGAAAAGGTTTTTTAGGTTGTTGTAATCTCATTTGTCTGCTTTTGCTTTTGTGGTCCATGCTTTTGAGGTCTTACACAAAAAATATTTGCCCAGCTCAATGTTCTAGAGCATTTCCCCAATATTTTCTTCTTGTAGTTACATAGTTTCAGGTCTTATATTTTAGTCGTTAATCTATTTGAATTTGATTTTTGTATATGGTGAGAGATAGATGTCTAATTTTATTATTCTGCATATCGTTTCTCAGTCCTTCCTGCACTATTTATTAAAGAGACTTTCCCCATTGTATATTATGGGCAACTTGGTCAAAGATGAGTTGGCTGTAAATGTGTGGATTTATTTCTGGGTTCTCTATTCTGTTCCATCAGTCTTTTTGCCTGGTTTTCTCTCAATACCATGCTGATTTGTTTATGATAGCTTTGTAGTATATTTTGAAGTCATATAGAGTTATCTCTCCAGCTTTGTTCTTTTTGCTCAGGACTACTGTGACTACTCTGGGTCTTTTGTAGTTGCATGTAAATTTTTGATTTTTTTTTATTTCTGTAAAAAATGTCATTGGTACTTTGATGGTGATTGCATTGAATCTATAAATTGCTTTGGGTAGACTTGTCATTTTAACAATATTAAGTCTTCCAATCCATGAGCATAGAATATCTTTCTATTTTTTTGTGTCCTTTTCAATTTTTTTCATCAGTATTTTATAGTTTTCCTCATATATATCTTCCACTTCTTTGGTTAAAGTGATTCTTACGTATTTTATATCCTTTGTGGCTTTTGTAAATGGGATTGCTTTCTAGATTTGTTTCTCAAATTGTTCGCTGTTGTTATACACAAATGCTATTGATTTTTGTATGTTGATTTTGTGTCTTACAACTTTACTGAATTTTAATCAGTTCTAATAATTTTTTGGTGGAGTCTTTAGGTTTTTCTAAGTATAAGATCATTTCATTTTTGAACAAGGCTAATTGACTTTTCTAATTTGAATGCCCTTTATTTCTTTTTCTTGCCTAATTGCTCTGGCCAAGACTTCCAGTATTATGTTGAATGGAAGTGGTAAAAGTGGACATCTTTTTCTCATTCCACATCTTGGAGAAAACAATTTCAGGTTTTTCTCATTTAGTATGATGTTAGCTGTGGGTTTGTCATATGTGAATGTTATTATTTTAAGGTATATTCCTTCTACATTCAGTTTGTTGAGGGTTTCCGTTGTGAAAAGGTGTTGAATTTTATTGAATGTTTTTTCTGCATCTATTGAAATGGTTATATAATTTTTTTCCTTGGTTCTAACAACATGATGTATCATGTTGGTTGATTTGCATATGTTGAATCATTTCTGTATCCTGGGATGAATCCCACTTGATCATGACTGATCTTTTCAATGTGTTGTTGAATTTAGTTGGCTAGTATTTTGCTGAAGATGTTTGTATCTATGTTCATTGATGATATTGGCCTATGATTTTGTTTTTTATTTTGTTTTTGCCTGGTTTTGGAAACAGGGAAATGCTGGCCTTATGAAATGAGTTTATAACTATTCCCTTCTGTTCAAATTTTCTTGAAGAGTTTGAATACAATTGTCATTAATATTTTAAATGTCTTATAGAATACAGCAGTGAAGCCATCAGGTCCTAGTCTTTTCTTTCATGGGAAGTCTTTTTATTACATTTTCAATCTTATTACTCATTATTGATCTGTTCAGGTTTTCTATTTCTTCATGATTCAATGTTGGTGGTGTGCATGAGTCTAGGAATGTATCCATGTTTTATAGGTTTTTTGTTTGTTGGTGTATACTTCTTCATAATATCCTCTAATGATTCTTTGTATTTCTGTGATCACAGCTGTTGTGTTTTCTTTTTCATTTCTGATTTTATTTATTTGAGCCTTCACTCTTTCCTTGTAGTTAGTCTAGTGTCAGTTAGGTCTACTAGGTCTAGTATGTAGTTAAATTCTGGTACTTCTTTGTTGATATTTGTCTGGATAATCTGTTCATTACTAAGAGTACAGTGATGAAGTCCCGCAACTATTATTATTTTGCAGTGTATCTCTCCTTTTATCTATTAATACTTGCTTTATATACATGGATGCTCCAGTGTTGGGTGCATAGATATTTATAATTGTTATATCTTCTTGTTGAATTGACCCATTTATCATTATATAGTGGCCTTCTTTGTCTCTTTTTACAGTCTTTGACTTGGATTTCATTTTATCTAGTATGAGAATTGCTACTCTTGTTCCTTTTTGCTTTCCACTTGCATGAAGTACCTTTTTCTCCTCCTTCACTTTCAATCTATATGTGTCTTTATATGTGAAGTAGATAACCTGTAGGCAGCATATAGTGGAGACCTTTTGTTTTCCATTCAGCCCCTCTAGGTCTTCTAATTAAAGAATTAAGTAAATTTACCTTGTGTAATTATTGATAAGTAAGGACTTACTACTGACTTTTGCTGCTTGTTTTCTGGTCATTTTGTAACTCCCTTTTTCTTTATTTTCTCACTATCTTCCTTTGTGATCATGTGATTTTCTCTGGTAGTACATTTTCATTCATTGCTTTTTATTTTTAGTGAATGTATGATAAGTTTTTTAATGGCAGTTTTTGCTCGCAGCACTTCGAAAATATAATTTCAGGCTGGGCACGGTGGCTCATCTCTGTAATCCTAGCATTTTGGGAGGCTGAGGAAGGTGGATCATGAGGTCAGGAGTTCAAGACCAGCCCAGCCAAGATGGTGAAACCCCGTCTCTACTAAAATTAGAAAAATTTGCCAGGCATGGTGGTAGGCGCCTGCAATCCCAGCTACTCAGGAGGCTAAGACAGGAGGATTGCTTAAATCCGGGAGGCAGAGGTTGCAGTGAGCCGAGATCACACCACTCTACTCAAGTCTGGCAACAGAGCAAGACTCTGTCTCAAAAAAAAAAAAAAAAAAAAAAAATATATATATATATATATATATATTTAAATATATAATTTCTTTTATATATTTTGAATTAAAAAATTATATAAAATTAATGTATAATTTCTTTTATATATAAAATTATATATAAAAAATAGCAAATATATTTCCCAGTTCCAAGATTTCTGTTTATTATTATTTCAATGTTTGCTAAATTTCTCTGACATATTTTTTCTTTTTTTTTTGTATTTTTTGTTGTCATTGTTGTTTTTGTTTTGTTTTGTTTTTAAGATGGAGTCTTGCTCTTGTTGCCCAGGCTGAATTGCCACGGCACCATCTCAGCTCACTGCAACCTCTGCCTCCCAGGTTCAAACGATTCTCCCACCTCACCTTCCTGAATAGCTGGGATTACAGGCACCTGCCACCACACCCGGCTAATTTTTTGTATTTTTAGTAGAGATGGGGTTGCACCATGTTTGCCAGGCTAGTCTTGAACTCCTGACCTCAGGTGAATCACCCACCTCAGACACACTTCTGAATTGCCTTCTTATTTTATCTTGGAGAGCACATAGATTTTTTATTAACTGCTATTTTGATTTCTTAGTCATAGAGCTCACACATTGCCATCTCATTAGGGTCAGTCAGTGGTGCCTTCCTTTTTACTTTTAGAGAGTTCACGGTTCCCTGTTTGCTGTTGTCTCTTGTGGTTTTGTGTTTATACCTTTGCATTGAAGGATTAGTTATTTATTCCAGTCTTCTCACTCTGGTTTGTTTTGGTTTTTACTGAGTATAGTTTCTTAGAGAGTCTTTTTAATTTACCTATTAGATTTCTTTCTTTTTATTTTCCATGAAGTTGCTGCCTTTTTTGTGGCACTGGATGGTGGCTTAAGCCCCGGTTTGCTTCAGCTTTGGTAAACAATTGTAGCAGTGCTCCTTCAAAATAAGGGGGGTTCCAAAGAGGGTATCCCAACAGTGGGAAGGATGGCTAGGGGTGTGTGCCTAGGGAAGCTGTGAAACATGCCTCCTACAGCGCAGCATTGCTGAATAGCCACTCCGATTTGGCATCTCCTTTGGCCAAGTTACAGAGCACAGTTTCCTGAGCTAAGTATGGTAGTTCTACTTCCCCTCTTTGTCTCTAGTTGTCTTTAGAGAGATATCTCTCTATGTACTTTTGATGTTTCTTGTGGGTTGAGACAGAGACAAACCTTCTTCCATGGAACCCAAAATGATGAAGGAACTGGTAGTCCACCTCAATCTCACCTTTTCCGTTGTTATAAACCATTAATCTCAGGGAAATTAAATGTGCACTTGCTGCTAGGCAGAAGGATTGGAGGGTGTCGTGGATTTGAAAGTCCAGTTCTCTTACCATCTGCTCAGATTCTGTTCACTTCTTTGTGGCTCCAGGAACTGTCTCAACCTCATATTTTGAGTTCTGCGGTATTACTTATGGTAATCTCAGTGGCTTATGATGATTTTGGTTTTCTGTGTGGGGAAGTGAAGCCAACTTGCTTCTATGCTGCCATTTCATAACAGGAAATGTCCTCAAAAACCTTGTTTAATCTTCTCTGCAATTAACTGAGTCCAGTTAGTTAATTATGGTTAGTTAATTAAGGTTTGTGACATAGTATACTTGTCTTTAGAATGCATGTAATCAAAGTTATCATCTCCTTGAGATGAGGATAGAATAATAAGATGGAATTTGACACTGAGGAACTACTTATTAAATAATAACTGTTGTTTTGGTAGAGTTCTCTAGAGAAATAGAACAGTAGGATAGATAGACTAGATAGGTAGATAGAGAGAGAGAGGTTTTATTTATATATATACATATATATATATATAGAGAGAGAGAGTTATTTTAATACCCATCATAAAATAATGAATGTTAAAAACAACAACAACAAAATAATAATATTGTGATGGTTAATTTTAGTTGTCAACTTCACTGGGTCATCTGGTGCCCAGATATATGGTTAAACATTATTCCTGAGTGTGTCTTTGAGGGTGTTTCTGTATGACATTAACATTTGAATCAGTAGACTGAGTAAGCCAGATTGTCCTCCCTAATATAGGTATATATGTGTATATATGTGTGTATATATATATATATGTATATATATATACATATATATATATATACACACATATATACACATATATATATATGAGAGAGATGAGTGGATAGATGAGAGATGATTTATTAGAGAAATTGGCTCACACAATTACAGGAGTTGAGAAGTCACAAGATTTGCTCGCTGAAGGACTGAGAACCAGGACAGCTGATAGTGTAAGTTTTAGTCTGAATCTGAAAGCAGGAGAAGACCAATGTCTCAGCTTAAAGAAGATTATCATTCAGAGAGACTGAGTCTCCTTTATTCCTCCTTTTGCTCTATTCAGGCATGCAAGGGATTGCATAATGTTCACCTACATTAGGGAGGACAGTATGGCTTACTCAGTGTACTGATTCAAGTGTTAATCTCATCCAGAAACATCCTCAGAGACACACTCAGAAATAATGTTTAACCACATATCTGAGCGCCTGATGACCCAGTGAAGTTGACAACTAAAATTAACCATCACAATGTTATTATTTTGTTGTTGTTATTTTTAACATTCATTATTTTATGATGGGTATTAAAATAACTCTCATAAAGTTTCAGATGTCTAGCAATAAAAACTGACCTGGAAAATTTTCTTACCTCTCAGTTTCATTGCTTAAGTCACTTGTTACAAACATGATGTCAAATAAGTAAAGCCTCCAGTACCTGCTATTTTGTCACAAGTGCTTCCAATGTTAAGACCCAGCCCTTCCTTTTACCCAGTTTCCTGGTGGAAGAAAAGACTTCAATATCATTTAGCAGATTGATTGACATTTCCTTTCTGGATTTTAAGGCTCCTAAAGTGCAGCAAATTTTCAGTCTTCACAAGTCGTTCACTACTACGCTAGCATTTTTTACACTTATTTTAACTTTGGAGTCCTAGGATTTATTTATTTTATATTTGATACTTAATACCTTTTTCTTAAATGCAAGGACTTTTGGATTTGCCTAGGGATAAGCTACAACACACAAAGGACACACAAGTTGGTGAATATACATGCATCATTTCAAAATTCAGTCAGAGATCTATGTATATAGGATATTTAGTGTGGATATAGAACTTCAAAAAATAAATTAAGGCAATCAAAATGCCAAGCTCTTGTATACTTAAACTTTAGAAATAGGCAGCTTATGACTGTAAATGACGGATACTCTCTGTAGTCCTAGAATACATTATTTGTGTCTCTTTCATGGTACTTTTTACATTTTATTCTGGTTGTTTCTCTCTTCCCCAGCCTGAATATTCTAAATGAGGATGCAGTCCTGGTATTTGTATCTGCCCTACTATCTGATACAATGACTTGCATACTCAATAATATGTGTATACGGAATGACACATCTATTAAATCTAAGATCATCTCCTCATTACATTGTTTTCTAGGATTCTAGCATGTATTTCACACCATATTTTAGTAGTCTTTATATATTATGATATAACTGAGAAAACCCTGACACTTGGAATTAGAATATGCAAATTTATTGCTGGGTGCTGTCCCTTATTAAATGTATGGATCATGTGCCTACAGGCTTAAACCTTTATGTATGCATTACATTTTTTAAAAATACGTTAACATTTTACATAGCACTTATCTTCAACCAAGTACCATCTTTGAATTCTAGGTTTTAGTATAGGGGAATGAACAAATAAACACTTTTCCTGATGCCATTGATTTAACAGTCTTTTGGAAGAGGAAAACATATATTCAATAGCATCAGGTGATCTGTAGGAAGCCAGGAGGGTGTGTGAGAAAGGAGCTGACCTTGACTTGGTAATAGAGTCCATGACAACATCATGGCTAAACTACTTTTCAAATAATTCCTCTTTGCAACACATAGTTTATCACTATAGAATTATTTTATGAATCTAATAGGAAAATTAGGAAAATAATTTGTTTTATAATGTGCTTTGATTTGACCCTGATATCTAATATAAGGAAATAAAGTGGAGATGACCAAGTGACAAATTGCCCTGTACTAACCATATCTAAGTAATGTGCGCCATCTGAAGCAGAACTTCAATTGCTTGTATATTTTAATGGCATCAGTTCTAAGCAGATATTTAATTCATATACACAATAGTCCATATTCTCCTCTTGGGTATTGGCTGATACCTAGATATCTGGGTTGAGAAAACATCTCTGCCAGAAAAAAATGGGAACATCTTCACGGCCTGTGCATCTCCAACAAGATTATTTCAGTGAAAAATATCCCCTTTATATGTGGTTAAAAATAGGGACGGTAAAATTGCCAAGAATATTTTCAGTCAGTTGATTTGTCCAATGCCTCATTACAGAATCTAGGTGCCAAGTGCTTTCTGGAGCTGGAGAAAAAGCCCTCCCAACAAGTAGCAGTCTTTCCTTCCTTGCACTGGGACCTCCCCAGGAGATGGAAAGGGAGACTGTAGCATATGGGAAATGGAGAATTGTAGAAAAGCCCAGAGGAAGGGGCTTTTCCCAGGCTAAAGGTCCAAGGCACTAGCCATCTGTTGGAGCTTGCAGATTGTTCAAACCTTCACCTAGTTTAGACTCCATTTCTCCAAGACATGAAAGAGTCAGATATTTACTCATGTGTATGCTCAGCAATACTTATTATTAATACAAAGAACTAAAAAAGAACAAAACCTAACACATATTACAAATATCTAGGTAATTCTGTTGGTACATTTTGAACAATGAATAAAAAACAGAAGTATTAATTATACAGAAAAGCACCAAGTGAAAAGGAAAAGTTTCCCTCTGTTCTGCCCTTCTTATTTATCTAAAATTGATTAGTTTGACTTTTAAATTCCTTCCTTAAAAAGCAATAAAAGTTATATTATATAATACTGTATTTATATTTTTAGTATACACACAAAACACACACTTCTTCCTTTATCCCAATCCCTGATTGCCTATTTATTGACAGTATCAAATGATATATAATTTCAAAACTTTGCTTTTAAATCTTAAAATATATATGTTTTTATCTATACCCATATCATCACATAGAAAATTATTTAGCCATTGATAATTTCATTGGATAAATATAATATAATTGTATGACCAATTTCCACCTGATAAACATTTTGCTTTTTTTTGCTAACATATATTTTGGGAATATAACCATAAGCAAACTCCTAAAGGAAACATTTTTTGGACAATGCATATACTTAAAAAAAAGACTGTAAAACTGTCTACATTTTACTAACAGTATATAAAGGTTTCAATTTGTTCACATTCCTTTGGGGGCTTTGTGTTATCAATTTTGTAAAAAATGAGCCAATGTGATGGGACAGTATATTTCGTCAACTTAGATTACAGTTCACTATAGTAAGCTTGCTGAAAGGTTTACTAAGAAAAATCTAGCATGAAAGTACATGCTGAGAGCAAATAGCTTATGCCATCCAATTTCCTGTTTTCTTCATTATTTGAATTTCTCTGTCAAAAGAAAACAAACAAAAACTTCCTATAAAAACCATGGAAACTGAAAATCTTTCTAGAATAAAAAATCTTCAGAAGCACAGAGTGAACTAGATCTCAGGATTATTCCTTCGCCTCTAGCTAAGCAAAAAAATAAAAGTTTGTAGAGGTAGTCTGTGTTTAAAAAGAGGTATTTTATATTACCCTAGTAACACAAGTTATCAGACCTGAACAAGAAACTTCTACATCCTTTAATTGTCATCTGTGGATATTAAATGGAAAATGGGAACCAGAAAACTGCAATTCTAATTGTACACTAATTGTATTTATTGGTTTACATATATATTATTTATGTCTTCATATTGAAATTTTTTACTAACACTTTGAAGTACTACTGCATTAAAGAAAGGATGCCTAACATAGAAGATTAAAACAAAGACAGGCATATTGAAACATTTTTCTACAGGTTGCTGCTAAGTTAGGTGATGTATTGGGTTTTGTATTTCCTAGTGTGCAAAATAATAACAGAAACACAAACTTTACAACAAAAGGAATAATGTTTTCCTGGATGGCAGAGAGATGGTCAAGTCTACAGACCACAGAAGAATGGAATTTCTGCAGTCCTGTTCCCAACTGAAGACTGCTTTTACAATAAGTAGATTATAATCAGATACTACAGGTTCCATCCTTAGAGGACCTCTAGGAGACAGGCAGAACATACATTATTTAGGAGCTTTGTTCAAGTATCTTCCACATCTCATCACCATGGGCCTCCTATTGGCAATAGCAGATTCTCAAAGTTCTTTTTTTCACCCAGAATTCATAAGGGACTGGAGGACCAATGTTGGCTTCCTGAAACTGCAAATAATAGGCTCATTCCTTTCATTGGGTAGATTCTGGGGGACATTGGACACGTTCTCTTCCAAGTGGCTGGGTTTCCTCTGAAAAAATTCTTGCAGAGTTTTACAGCCAGAAGTAATAGCTTTTAAACATCTTTCATGAATATATAGGCTTTGTGAGTGCCCAGAGTGTTTTTCAGTATCTGAGCATTTGTAGCATGTTCAACAAAATATCAAGTTAAAATTAACTTTAGATTCTTTAATATAAAACTAAATACATGACCTAGAAGTGCCTGTCTCTGTGTGTACATTTACATTGTTTCTAGTGTTCCTATAATGTAGGACCAGAGATACAGGGATGATCCAATCTGCTAGTTTTATGAGATTACCCCTAATTGTTCTATCCAAATTGGTTGGACCAGCAGTCCATGGTAGTTTCAGCTCATCCTATTCCTCTCCACCATTTGGCATTTTTCAGCTTTTTCACATTTGAAAATCTGATGAATGTGAAATGGAACCTCACTGTGGCTTTAATTTGCATATCTTCATTGCTAATGAAGTTTAGCATATTTGATATATTTCTTAACCATTTTTGTTTCTTTTTTGTGAATTCCTGCTTTGTCTACTTTCTCATTAAGATTTTTAGAGTATCTTTATAAATTCTAGATACTAGCACTGTATTAGTAATATACATAGGAAAATATTCCTCAAAAGCTTTGTCTTTTAAATCTTTTGTCTTATTTTTGTGAAATAAAGGTTTTGATCTTTAGTGTAGTGAAATTTTTTTATTATGATTTTTGCTTTGTGTGCTTTTAAAAGATATACTTACTACACAGAAGTTAGAAAAATGTTTCATAATTTTAATGTTTTGCCTTTATGTTCTACCTCTGTTGGCACATTTGTAAGACGAGGATGATGATTGTATAATAGTTATAATAATAGTTTGAATATTACATTAATAAATATGTATAAAGCCCTTGAAACAGTGAATGAAACATAGTAGGTATAAATACACATTTAAAAAATCTTAAATTCTTTTTAATCAATGGTGTTTTAGGAGTCCAACTTAATTGTCTCTTTCAAATGAACACCTGGTTATCCTAGCAGCATTTGTTATGTATTCCACTATTTCCCTACTGCGCTATAATGCTGCTTCTGTGATATATTACATCCCCACCCGTGTGTGCCTCTGTTTTATGCTTCTCTACATGGTTTGATATGGTTTGCATGTTTGTTTCCTCCAAATCTCATGTTGAAATGTGATTCCCAATTTAGAATGTAGGGCCTGATGGGTGGTGACTGGATCACGGGGACAGGTCCCTCATGAATGGCTTAGCACCATCCCTTAATGATGAGAAGGTTCTTGCTCAGTTAGTTCACATGAGATCTGGCTGTTGAAAAAGAGCCTGGCACCACCCCAACTCTCTTGTACCTATCTCACCAAGTTATATGCTGGCTCCCACTTTGCCTGCCAACATAATTAGAAGCTCCCTATGGCCTCACCAGAATCCAAACAGATGCTGGCACCATGTTTACTATACAACCTGCAGGACCATGAGCCAATTAAACCTCTTTTTATCATAAATAACCCAGCCTCAGGTATTTCTTTACAGTGATGCCAAAACAGACTAAGACATGGTTCCGTGTGTTTGTGTACTCCTGTATCAATATCATACTCTGAAATAAGATTTTATGGTAAATTCTGAGATACTGTAAGGCAAGATTCCAAGGTTTTTTTCTAAACACGGGCTATTTTATTACTTGTTCTTCCATATATATATAACTAGCTCCATATATTCCATGAGAACATCTTTTGATATTTATATTGTAATTACACTAAAGCATACGTTAATTTAAAGAAGAAAAAAATGGAAATTGGGATCTACTAGAGGGTAGAGAATGGGAGCAGGGAGAGGAGCAGAAAAAATAATTATTGCATATTAGGCTGAGCATCTGGGTGATGAAATAATGTGTACAACAAATTCACGTGACATGAGTTTACCTATATAACAAACCTGCACATATACCCCCAACCTAAAATAAAAGTTAAAAAAATTATACATATTTATACAAGTGTGATTGCTATTTGAATAAAATATTGCTACTACATTTTATATTGAATATTATCTGTTTGTTTTTGCATATCCATTCTATTTCTAATGACTTTGCTTAATGTTAAATTATTTCTAATAGGCTTTCTTTAAATTCTATTGTAGTTCCTATATGTACAGTTTTATAATCTGACAATAAGGACCATTTGATACTTTCTTTTCAATAGTTCATAGATATGTACTTCCTTTTCTTGTCTTATTGCATTGGGTACGTTCCTCCCTGTGTTGGATAGATGTGGTGATAGTGGCCTCCTTTGTATTATTTCTGATGTTAACAGAAATTCCTCAAAATTATCATACCTAATCTACCCAGTACCAATCTGTAGATCCTGCATCCGACAGACTCTCCATGGCAAAATTCCTATTAAGATTTTTGCTTTTCTGTGTTCTATCTCACCCCTGGCATTTATGTTCTAGTATTTGAACCTAGTTATATCATTTTAGTTATTTTTTTTAACTATTTTATCTGCTAGGGAGTTTTGAAGCACAAACTTTTTGTGCTAATATTACTAGAAATTTTAACTAAAGTTTTAACCAATTAAAAACTTATTTTGGCAATATAAGTGTTCTCACCATAAATAAATGATTAGTATGTGAGGTGGTGTCTATGCTAATTATCTTACTTTAGTCATTTGACATGTATACACCATTCAAAACATTAATATTTTACACTACACAATTTCTGTTCAGTGTCAAAAATTTAAACACATAAAAATATGACTATTGTAATATCAGCATTGTCTTTTAAAAATAAAACAAACACATATGGAGACACATTTATACATTTATACATGTGTGTTAAGTATACATGTACATACACATATGTATACACACACATACACACACAAAGATAGGCATTTTTAAAAATCTTATCTAGGCAATTTTCCTTCACCTATCAGAGTTGATATTCAGCCAGTATACCCATGTTGGACATTGAGACCTTGAAATACTTCCATGACAGTTGATAAAATAAAATTCCATATGTTCTGCCCCCTTCTCCCAACCAGTTATTAGACTACTTTCTGGTCATCTAACTCTCTCTTCTGACCTCCTGGAACTCCCAAGTAAACTATAGTTAAAAGGATTATGTCACATCCAGAAATGAACCTTAAAAAACATGGTCCATGCATTGGCAGCATCTGTTCTCATTGGTTAGTGTCCCTGGTGTGCCAGATGTCAAATATTTCAATCACTCTGAAAATCGATTTTCTGGGGATATTATCTGTCTGTATACTTTTTGTACTTATATTACATTTGTATAAATAAAATACATACTTTATGCATTTAAATTATTTTGTAAAATTTAAAATATTTAAATAGTTGGACTCTTGAATAACATGTTAGGTCCATTTATACTCAGATTTTTTTTCAATAAAATTCACACCGGTGTTCCTGCCTATCATGATTCCACTTCCATCTCCTCCACCTCTTTTGGTCTGCTCTCCCTAAGACAGCAAGACCAACAACCCCTTCTCTTCCTTCTCCTCAGCCTGCTCTATATGTGAGGATGATGAGGGTGAAGATGTTTATGATGATTCATTTCCAATTAAATATATAAATATTTAATTGGAAATATAATTTAATTTAAATATAAATATATAAATATAAATTTATATATTTATAAACTATATATATAAAATCTTTATTGTTTTTCATAACATTTTTCTCCACCTTACTTTATTCTAAGAATACACAATATATATAGCACACAAAACATAAAAAATACATGTTAATTGATTATGTCATTGGTAAAACTTAAGGTCAACGGTAGGCTATTAATAGTAATGTTTTTTGGGATTTAAAAGTTATACGAAGATATTCAACTGTGTGTGGGTCATCATAATCCTGACTTTCAAGGGTACAATGTATTATTAAGCCATCACATTTCTAATAGAGATGTATCCATTTAATGTATATAGATCTAAGTTGTTTAAGTTCTATATGGAATTTTATTACACTAGTATTCAATGGTTCAATTATCCATTCTTCTCCTAATAAAAATATATTTCTAATATTTCACTACTCTACTCATTAGAGTAAACATAGGTATTTATGCTTCCTCACTCATTTAGTATCTCTGTAGCATGTTCCCAGAAGTGAAAATGTTAATACATAGGAAAACAATAAACTGAATTTAATCAGAAATCCAAAGATTCTATCTTACTAATTGGCGGAGTCTAAAAGTCTAAATTGGCTAAAATTCATAATGGGTTAATTTGAGGTTATTTAAATGACTAGAGCAAGCCTGGTCAGCTGGATAGCAGAGAATTTTAAGGGATCAGCTGTTTAATTTCAGTACAACCCTTATGCAGTTCTGTTTTGCCCTCAGTAGTAGTAATTGTCTCTGTCTTAGATATTGATGAGACAATTTTAAGTCCTTCTAGCACATTTACAATAGATTCAGTTAATCTCCTTGTTAGTTGATGCATTTTTTTTCCCTAACCAGTGAGACTGAACTGGGAGAATACTGAGACTTGAAGACACAAAGTCTGTTTCCAGGTTTCCCAAAGAAGAAATACTGCTTCCTTGCCCTCCCCTTTACTTTCCTAGTTCCATGTTTAATGCCACCATTACCATCACCCTGAAGATAAGAATATAAGTCTGGATCAATTGGATTTTGGGGTTGTGCGAATCATGTTTCCAGTTTCTGTAAGCTTGATACTTTAACATCTGACCTGCATGCATATGCTGGACACACATTGTTCTGGACAACCTGATGATGTGCCTGAGTCACCTTGCCTTGATGCCCTGTCTCCCTCATTATTCCTTTCCATTGCCATGGTGGAAGTTCCCCTTTCAGAAGTGTGCTTTTGAAAGACAAACCAGTAAACCCAGAGTCAACACCCCAAGCCCCTCCTCTATGGGTCTGTCACACTCTGGGCAACTGTCTACCCGCCCTGATCACCCAGGGCCAGGTACTCAAAAATTAGGGACAGCCCCTATGCCCCAGAGTCCCTTGTGTTTTGTTTTCATTCATTTTAAAGTATATTATCAGCTCCTTTAGGAGTTTTCTCCCTATTGGTTATAAGAGTATAGTTTAATTTCCACATGTTTGGGAATTTCCCAAATTTCTTTCTAGTGTTGATTTTTAAATTAATTGCTTTGTGGTTGGAGAATATACATTGTGTGCTTTCAATTTTATACAAATCTGTTGAGAATTGTTTGGGCTGAATAACTGTTAAACCAAATCCTTCAAAAAAACAAAAAAAAAAAAACAAAGGAAACACATAAGGGAACAAAACCAAACACCCACAAACACTATCTACAAAAAAAAAGAGAATATTACAATGTATCTCTATGAAGTCAAGTTATAAGCAAATTTAGACATGATACCAATAGCCACAAGATTCACATGACATCAGACTGTTTGAGAGCAAATAGAGAGTCAAATGGACATATGACACTCCCAAAGACAAAGGAACTAAAAATCACCAACAGAGACTCCTGGAAAAGATCCAGGGGCCCTTCAGGCAACAGCATTTGAAACTTAGTAACTGAATTTCTGGGGACTTGAGGAATGTCTGATTGCTAGTGGAATATAGAGTATCTACATTATGTTGAATAAATATTTATATTCAAAATTATGCTTATATTTGCATAAATAGCTTTGGCTTTATTTTAGGATATGATTGTCTGTCTGCATTGAGTACCTTGACTATCGAGCAAATCATTGTCTTGCTAGTCAGTAACAGATCATATAGTTAAACGTGAAGACAACAATCAAAACAGCACCAATTACATTATGCAGCTCTAAAAAGTATCCAATTTGGGGCAAATATTCTCCAAAAATTATCTGCAACACTCACTGTGTTATGGTTAATATTATTTCCTCAAATAATTATCTGGGCTCCATTTCTCGTTGCTCATAAAGCTCATATTTAACATGGTGTTGTCTAGGTATTGACCATTTTCACTTGATTAGAAATAATTAATCTAATTGTTTTGTTGTTGTTGAGTGGCTTTGCTCCTTCCCAGGAAATAATTCACTTCTTGAATACACATCTTCCCAACTGCTTGAAATATATGACAAATTGAAAACTCTCTGAGGTGTGGTAATACATTTTACTGTCTGGTTATGTTACATTTTAATGTGGGGCCCTATAGAAGATTACTTAGATTTTGTTCTGGCTTTATAGAGGTGTAAGCCGCACTCAATAACCCCTGTCAAATAAAGGTAAGAAGACTAATTAAGCAATAAATCCATACAAATTGTTATAGGAAAGTAATGATTTTCTTGCATTTTTTATAATAGCAATACTGTATCTAAAAAACATTAGCTAGTGTGTCAAGCTAGAGTTGAGTGTGAAGAATAAAAAAGGGATCCTTTGCTCATTGGGATGTATATCATATCTGCTCAGTTTGGTTTAGAATAACTGAGCCCTAAGACTCATCTAAATAATTTCAGATGCATTAAGTTTTTTTATAATATAATTTAGAAATTAGGTTCTACATGTATTATTACTAGGTATAGTTGTAATAAGAAGTAAATTTGTAATTGTAGAAAATAAATTTGAGTTAGCATAAAATGGTCTGAAACTAAGATGTCTTCAGCACATATTTATTAAACAGCAGCTATTGAAATGTTTTGTGTATATCAGAGGTTGTGGAATTAAGCAAACTGTAAGAAGGATGAGGCCAGGGTAATGCTCTCAACTAAGTTACGAGTTAGTAAATTTCCTAACTACCTTCCTGTTTAATGATTACAAGTTAATGCAATTAGATAACTAGGCTGTGTTTCTTAGTTCATCTCTTCAGAACCCATGATAGAACTGCAGACTCTGCAGGCTTAAAGGTACCATGAATGACCTGTAAGTAAGAACAGGTGGAAGTGACTTTACGGTCATATAAATGAAAACAAATTAAGGAGGCCTTTAAAAATATATAAACACATAAGGAACAAATACCATAAAACTTATTGAAAGTCATAAATTTATCCTGAATAAACTTTGCTGATTATAACCAAATAAATTTGGGCTCACAAACAGATTTTATTTTAACATGGAAAGGATATATCAAGGATCAAAAATGTCAGTGTTTAAAAAGTCACTATGGATGAGATAATCTCATCACCCAATGTTTGAAATAACTCGACCCTCAAACATCTACAAAATAGTGCTTTGCATATACACTTTCTGTAGTTATTATTACAATAAATATTATGGGTTTTGCATTAGTCGCAGGAAAGAACAAATGGTATAAAAAAAGATATTCAAATGTCCAAGAATATCTTGGACTCTAAATATATATTGAAAAGGCATTTTTAAAAATGTATTGATTAGTTGATCATACTCATTTTCTTAAAAGCAGTCAGAGATAGCTAAATGAAAATTAAAATACAAAGAATATTTCAATAAGTGGGAATGAAAAAATGCATATATAAAACAGTGCAAAGAAAAACATCGTAATGAAGCACACTCTCCAATCAAAGAAAAATTTATAAAGCTTCCATTGTCTAATTCAATACATTTGATTTTTTCAGAATAAAGTGATGATTCTTTGATTTTAAATTCTGAGAGCAATTTTTAGTAATATCATTTAGATGTATAGCTTTCTGTGTAAGAATAGAATATCTAACACTATGGGGAATAAATCTTAAGAATCATGCCAGATAAATTATTAGAATATCTGACTTTTGACTCTATTCAAAAGTCAGTATTCTTAGCTTGAATTTTTACTGGTGTTTTACAGAAGAATAATCAAAATTGAAATAATTGATGGGTACCTGAACTTTGGGTTTCATTTTATAGTTTTAAAATTTTATATATATATATATATGTCCTTTTATATATATCAGTGTGTGTATATCTATCTATCAGTATATATACTGTAGATATTGGCAAATAAGGCATCTTTTCAATAAAAGTCAAGTAGCCTGTTTCACTTGTTTTATTAATATCTACCAAAATGTGGAAAGCAAGCAGAGCAGACATCTGTCAAGATAAAAGGCTCAAAGGGATAGTAAAAGAAAAACGAGAATACTAGGGATTAGAAGAGAAAAGTTATAGTGGATAAGAGAAATAAATTATATTTTTACGAAGAAGTATGGGAAGAGAAACACATGATAAAATTACAGTCCTTTCAACAAATGAAAAGGTGGGAAGAGAGGTGAGAGTAACAAAAGGAAATGATAAAGTCAAGAGACAGCTCCCTACTGGACCTGTGGTCTGTCCTTCCTATCTGATGTTCTAGAGCTCAGCGCCATCAACTAAGTAATCAAAGATGCTGCCTTTTCACATCTAACAGTAAGTAATGCTAAATCTCTATGCCTACTATAAAAATTCAACGTGATTTATCTGAAAAATTTAATTTAAGCAGGATTATATAACAGTTATTCAATAAGTAATCTTGCCACAAATCACAAGCCCTTCAAGCAAAATTATTTCACTTCTTGAATATGATTTTTGACATTATCCATTTTGATAGTAAAAAGGAGACATTGAAAGTAAACACAAATTTTAGAAAAAAAAATACATATTTAGCCGGATAATCATCATCTACTCTTTGCTGTTTCCTAGGGTAACTTGTAGCCGACTTAGCAAAAATGTTCTCAGTGAATCATTAGTTATCTGCTCTCCTTTTTAAACATGGGAGGATGTAATTTGGTGAATATCTAAATGACTGGATTGAGTTCCATTGTCTGTCATTTTTCACCATACAATATGTTCTAATCTTCATCAAGACATACGTCAGAATGTCAGAGGAGTCCATGACCAGTTACCTGGATTCACAGCTGACAGGGCAAATTTCAGTCTGTTTATGTGATCACTCAGAATATGACACCCAGATATAATTCTACTCATCTCATGTGGCTTCAAAAAGTAAAATTATTAGAATGATAAGTGTGCTTATGGTATAAAATATTTGCCAAGTTAATCTCATCCTTGTTAGTCTCCTTATTTTTTCCTGTTTATTTTTGGATACATTGTGGAGGCACGTGATGACAGCCATGGGCAAGTCATGCTGCTTGCCTGATCTGACATGTTCATTTCACAGACGCAAAATACAGATGGGCATGTCATAGGGAATGACTACTCTGGCCTCTCTACTGGAAATGTGAATAAATCTTCTAATGGGGTTTTCCATGGGCTGACCAGCAAACGTGTTACAATATTGTTTTAGAGGGGTATGGACTTTTTCCCTCTTTTTACATTAGTATATTTCTCTCTAAATTTTCACACTATAAAGCCTCTCTTATCCTAACAATGATCTTCCTTATACTAGGTGAAATTTATTTTTTGTGTTATATATAATAAGTACATTTGCTAAGAGATGCACTGAAAATGTGCACTTTTAAAAAAGCTTCAAAATGAAGTAGTCCAGTGTTCTTTTCAAAGTATATAATGGCTTTATTAGGAGATGTTTATATATATTATTAATTTTCATCATGCTAAGGAAATATATGGATTGAGGCCTTATTGAATCTGTAAGGAAATTGAGATCAGTATGATCTAGCTATCGCTCATGTATTTCTTAGATATCCTACAAGTACAGTTGACCCTTGAACGACAAAGGGGGTTAGGAGTGCCAACCTCTGTGCAGTCAAAAGTCTGCATAAAATTTTGACTCCCCCAAAACTTAACTTATAATAGCCCACTGTTGACTGGAAGACCTACTAATTAAGTTTATCAACAAAGAGTTTGTTTATTTTATGTATTCTATATTATATTCTTACAAAAAGAAAGTTAGAGAAAAAAATGTTATTAAGATAAGCATAAGCAAAAAATATACTTATTATTCATTTAGTGGAAGTAGACCATCATACATGTCATCATCCTTATCATCTTCACATTGAGTAGGCTGAGGAGAAAGAAGAAGAAGAAAGGTTGGTCTTGCTGTCTCAGATTTGCAGAGGCAGAAGAAAATCCTTGTATAAGTGGTCCCATCCAGTTCAAACCCAGGTTGTCCAAGGGCTAACTGTAGTTATTTTTAGAAAAAAAAAAAGTGCTATTTGTTTTAAGTACACAACTAATCTTGAGAAAAAAGTAAAGACACAGATATTCATAGATGATTATCAAGCATTTTCATTTTGTTTCCAAATTCAAGCGGAAGTACCAGTCTCTTTCATTCTTTTATGTTCCTGATAGAAGGAGGTGGATTTTGGGCCTTGGTTGTAAGGCCATGGAGGCACCTTTACACATTTTTTCTACACTGTTGTTTTTTTCTTTGCAGAATTGAACCCATCTTTGGTGGCTTGACAGGGACTTTGGCTAATGTCAGCACTCTTGGTAAGAAGATAACCTGGGACATTCTAAGGGGTTGTAGGATTATTCTCAGGGACATCTGTATGTGGCCTCCATAGCTGTGTTTTCTGTCCCTGGAGATACTTTTGATACATATGGGGCATTTCAACCTTCTTGAGTTCTGCTACCAATATACAACATCATTGGGTTGGCATTCTCTCTCGTATGTCCATCTTTTAGTCAATGAATGACCCTTGGTAGACTAGAAGTTGAGAGATCTGGTTGTTTTACTCTTTCTCAACTTATAGGTTTGCATCAATAAATCATATTATAAATAGCACCATGTGCTCTTATGCTGTCGGTTATCTTTTACCGCATGCATCTGGGTTATGTACTTATTCAGGACCTAATTAAATCATGCAGTCTATAAAATATTTGGTAGTATATATTTATAGAACCTAGTAACTGCATTATTTTGCTTCACAGAATTTGTTGTTTAAATGTGTTAAGTGAAAAATACATTCTCACTTAAATAGATGGGATTTGCTTTCAGCATAAATTCCAAACAAAAAAGATCTTTCAACTAAAAGTAGTAACTGGGTATTCTCAGTTAACTTATCAAGTCAGAAAGCATGCATGATTCCACACAATAGAGCTCTGTCCCTGTGCAAATGGAATAAAAAATTCATCACTGGGTTGCTAACTTGCATTAGTAAAATTATAATTTGTTGGAGGAAATAATCCTTAGTATTATTACTGACAAAGGCTATGTTTAAGATCAGAACTTTTATCAAAATAGTAAAATTAAAAATCTTGGAGGATAGAGTAAAGAATACATCCAAACTTCTTGATTTCATGTGTAAAATATTTAACAGCTACTTGAGCTGTTTCTTTCTTTTCCACATTTTAAATAAAAGATTATAAAGAATATAAAAATATACTTGAGTTTTTAATAAAAAGGAGCAATTTCAGAAAAACATTCAAGTACATATAAATAAAATACAACTGCATCAAACCAAAAATGAAGTTTTAAAGCAGTCAGCCTTGAAATATAATGAGTAAAGATGTCACAGCACATGGATTTTCTTCAGAGAGAGGCAGCTGAAGGCCCCAAGTGGACTTCGAACTCCTGCAGGGAGCATGTGGCTGCTATGTTACACTAAACATTTGGAAGCTGCTGCCCTTTGGGCAAAGTATGCACACACTTCATTCCCTGTAAAACTGGGCCACACTTCAATATCCACTGGCAGAGCATTTCAGTTTTCTAGGTTCACCTGCCTCCAAACATTTTGCAAATGTGAAGATCAGAGTTAATGCAAAGTCTCCTTGAAAGCCAATGGGGAGAGAATTGAGGAGATGAGGCTGACCCAAATCAATAAGGTTGAACTTAGAAGTCTGGCAGAAGATTCCAGCAAAACAGCCAGCTAGGGTTTTAAATTTTCCCATAAACAATATCAGTATTAAAGTGTGATATCAAAGGAAAGTGTCTGCCAGCTGTACTAGGAGGTAAAATCTTAACAGTATGCATACAAAATTAGTTGTAAGCTGGCTTTAATTTTTCAAGCCCAGAATATAAATTTTCTCACATCCTCCAAAAGTACACAAATATAGAAATATACTTTCTTTTGTTTCCATTTGTTTTTTGGTTTTTATATGGCAAAAAGTTAAAATAGTCTATTCTAAAAATGTTAAACATTTAAGAAATATATGGATTTCAAAGTGAAAATTATCCACAATTATATTAGTTCATTCTCACACTGCTAATAAAGACATACTCAAGACTGGGTAATTTATAAAGAAAAGAGGTTTAATTGACTTAGAGTTAAGCATGGCTGGGCAGCTTCACAATAATGGTGGAAGGTGAAGGAAGAGCAAAGACACATCTTACATGGTGGCAGGCAAGAGAGCATGTGCAAGGGAACTGCCCTTTATAAACCATCAGGTCTCGTGAGATTTATTCACTGTCAAGAGAACAACACAGGAAAACCATCCCCCATGATTCAATTACCTTCCACCGGCTCTCTCCCATGACACATGGGGATTATGGGAGCTACAATTAAAGATGAGATTTGGGTGGGGACACAGCCAAACCATATAATTCTGCCCCTGGCCTCTCCTAAATCTCATGTCCTGACATTTCAAAACCAATCGTGCCTTCCCAACTGTCCCCCATATCTTAGCTCATTTCAGCATTAACTCAAAAGTCCATAGTCCAAAGCCTCATCTGACTGAGACAAGGCAAGTACTTTCCATCTATGAGACTGTAAATCAAAAGCAAGTTAACTACTTTCTAGATACAATGGGAATATAGGCATTGGGTAAATACACCCACTGCAAATGGGAGAAATTAGCCAAAACGAAGGTGCTACAGGCCCCATGCAAGTCCAAAATCCAGCAGGGCAACCAAATCTTAAAGCTCCAAAATGATCTCCTTTGACTCCATGTCTCATATCCAGGTCACGCTGATTCAAAGGATGGGTTCCTATGGTCTTGGACAGTTTGCACCTGTGGCTTTACAGTCCCTCTCTTGGCTGCTATCACAGGCTGGCATTGAATGTCTGTGGCTTTTCTAGGCTCACAGTACAAGCTGTTGGTGGATCTACCATTCTGGCATCTGGAGGATGGTGGTCCTCTTCTCACAGCTCCACTAGGCAGTGCCCCAGTGGGGATTCTGTGTAGGGACTTGCACCCCATATTTCCCTTCTGCACTGACCTAGCAGTGGTTCTTCATGAGTTCTCCATCCCAGCAGCACACCTCTGCCTGGACATCCAGGCATTTCCATACATCCTCTGAAATCTAGGCCAAGGGTCCCAAACCTCAATTCTTGACTTCTGTACACCTGCAAGCCCAATACCAGAAGGAAGCCAAAAAGGCTTGTGGCTTGCACCGTCTGAAGCAACAGCCTGAGCTGTATGTTGGCCTCTTTTAGCCACAGCTAGAGTGACTGGGATGAAAGGCATCAAGTGCCTAGGCTACACACAGCAAAGGGGCCCTGGACCTAGCCCAGGAAACAATTTTTCCCTCCTAGGCATCCAATCCTGTGATGGGAGGGGCTATCATGAAGGTCTATGACATGCCCTAGAGACATATTCCCCATTGCCTTGGTGATTAACATTTGGGTCCTTGTAACTTATGCAAATTTCTTCAGCAAGCTTGAATTTTTCCCCAGAAAATGTGGTTTTCTTTTCTATCATATATCAGGCTGCAAAATTTCCAAACTTTTATGCTCTTCTTCCTCTTGAATATTTGGCCACTTAGAAATTTCTTCCACTAGACATCTTAAATCATTTCTTTCAAGTTCAAAGTTCTACAGATCTTTAGGGCAGAGGCAAAATGCCACCAGAATCTTTGCTAAAACATAACAAGAGTCACCTTTGCTCCAGTTCCCAACAAGTTCCTCATCTCCATCTGAGACCACCTCAGCCTGGACTTTATTTTCCATGTGACTATCAGCATTTTGGTCAAAGCCATTCAACAAGTCTCTACAAAGTTCCAAACTTCCCCACATCTTCCTGTCTTCTGAGCCCTCCAAGTCTCTAGGAAGTTTCAAGCTTTCCTACATATTTCTGTCTTCTTATGAGCCCTCCAAACTGTTCCAACCTCTGCCTGTTGCCTAGTTCCAAAGTCGCTTCCATATTTTTGGGTATCTTTACAGCAGTGCCCCACTACCCAGTACCAATTTACCATATTAGTACATTGTCATGCTGCTAATAAAGACTTCCCCGAGACTGGGTAATTTATAAAGGAAAGAGGTTTAATTCACTCACAGTTGAGCATGGCTTGGGAGACCTCACAATCATGGCAGAAGGTAAAGGAAGAGCAAAGGTACATCTTACATGGTGGCAGGCAAGAGAGCATGTGCAGGGAAATGCCTTTATAAAACCATCAGATCTCATGAAACTTATTCACTATCACAAGAACAACTTGGGAAAACCCACCATCATGATTCAGTTACCTCTCACTCAGTCCCTCCCATGACATGTGGGGAATATGGGAACTACAATTCAAGATGAGATATGGGTGGGGACAGAGCCAAACCATATCAACAACCATAACTATTTTTTAATTCCATCTCCAGAAATTTAAACAAATGTTAACTATTTAATGTGTACATTTCCACATGTGTGTATCTGTATACATGTGTATATATATATATATATACACATATATAAATTTCCAAGCATCTGTATGATTAAATACTTACAATAACACTATAACAGCTCTGTATCAAAGTTATTAAAGTGTTATTATAATTTAACCTACCTAATTTCCAAAGTTGAGGGTTTTTCTATGTTTCATAAACATCTAATAAATGTTTTTGTCTCTTGTGCATATGTAAATGTTTCTGGATAGATGATTAAAAACACAACTGTGGAGTATCGGAGAATAAGAACATGCCTATTACTAATTGTGGTTAATGCTGTGAAATTTCCCTCAAAACGTCAATGCCTTTGAGGTTTTTATTAAATCTAATAAAGAGAGTGAAGGACTGCTGTTAAAGATGGCATGAATAAATTGGGCAATTCTCTTCCAGAGAAAACAAGTGAAAAATTGGACAGATTTTCAACAGTAACAATAATAACAAATATTTCATAGCCCAGGAAATTGGTCAAAGGAAGATAACAAGTTGGCAGTTTTGTGTAAGAACAGAAACAGTTGCTGGGTTTCTTGCCTGGGCATAAAATCTCCTAAGTCTCTACTTGGCTTGAAAAAACTATAGGTTTTCCAATGGGGGGGTGGCAGAAAATCAAGCAGCTACGCAGTAAGAGGTGATTAACTCCACTGGGGAGAGTGTGAGTGAAAACCCATGGATTTGCCAGCTAAAAGGAGTAGACTTTGCTTGGAAGAGATGGGGAAAAGCCATAGTTTTGGTAGCCCAAGTTTGAAAGCCTGATTCAGAACAGCATTAGACAAGCCAGAAATTTAACGAAAAATGAGAAAGACATAGATAGACTAAAATACTCTATGCATATGTGAAAGTCTTACAGCTAAACTATGCAAACTGGAGAAGCTGGGTGCTGAGACAACAGAATGAAAAAGTGAAAGACAAGTGTGACTTGAGCTGGCTACAAATTTGAATGCATTCTACAACCTACCCACAGCTCAGCTGGCAGAGAATAGCAGCCTTCCAAGATAAGGTGCCTGGCTTAGTATTAGCCTGCCATAACAAAGTTCCACAGACTGGGCAGCTGTAAATTTAACCTCTCACAGTCCTGGGGGCAAGATCAAGGTATTGGCAGAGTTGGATTTCTCTGAGCCATCTCTTCTTAGCTTGTAAATGGCTATCTTCTCCATGTCTTCACATGGTCATCCTTCTATGTTTATCTGTGTTCTTATGAGAACACCAGTTAGGTTAGATTGGAGCCCCACTATATGACCTTATTTTACCATAATTCCTTCTTTAAAGGGTCTATTTCCAAATACTGTCACACTGGGAGGTCCTGGGGTTAGGACTTCAACACATGAATTTTGGAAGAACACATATGAGCCCGTATCACTCTGCCCTTGGGTGTCCTGAAATGTATGTTCTTCTCACAGGAAAAATATACTTATTCCATTTCAACAGTCCCCAGAGTGTTAACCCACTCCAATAATTTTCTATTTAGTAACTCTAAATAGAAAATCTCATCTAAATATTCTCTAAATCAGGTATGGGTGAGAGGAGGTAGGATTCATCCTGAGGCAAATTCCCCTCCAGCTGTGAACTTGTGAAACCAGGTAAGTTATCTGCTTCCAAAATACAATGCTGGTACAGGCATTGAAGACATTTTCATTCTGGAAGGGAGAAATCAGAAAGTAGAAAATGGTAAGGGGTCCTGGAAACCTAGCAAGGTAAATTTCATGCAATTTCTTTTTTTTAAGCCACAAAAATAACTCACTTTGACTCACTCTATCTTCTGAGCTCGCAAGGGTGCTCCTAGCTTCCAAACCCACAAGTGTGATGGCTCTGACCCCTTGGCCCTGGGCAGTGGCAGACAGCCCTAATCCCCAGGCCTCTGCTCTCTGGGCTCAGGGTGCCAGTGGCAGCCCTGCTGACTCCTAAATTACCTTCAGGGCCTTTCTTCTCTTTTCTTAAAGTATAATGCATATGCTTGTCCAGATAGCTCTATTGCCATGTCCTGTAGAATCTCATAGGTCTGAAACTTCCTCCATTTCAGCCTAACTGCCCCTTCAGTTCAAGTTGGCAGCATTTCCATAGGTATGTCCTCATCTCTATTCCCGGCTTCTGCTGAAATGACTGATTGTATCCATAAGTCATATGTCTATAATCTCTGTAGCAAATTGATGTCCAGTTGCACCCCTGATGTCTTTGGCAGTATACACTTTATTTTCTTATTTGTTGAATATAAGTAGGCTATAAATTTTTCAGATCTTCAAGTTCTGGTTCCTTTTGCCTAATAATTCCCTCTTTAATTTATCTCCTCTCACATTTTGCTGTACACAGCAAGGAGAAACAACACTGTACCTTCAACACTTTGCTTAGAAATCTACTTAGTTAAATAAACAAGTATATGCCTTGCAAGTTCTACTTTCCACAAAACGATAAAATAGATTTCAGCCAACTCCTCTGCCACTTCATAAATGGATGACCTTTCCTCTAGTTTCTGATAGCATGTTCCCCATTACCCCCTGGGATCTCATTAGAATCACCTTTAGCATCCATATTTGTACCAACATTCTGTGCATGATGAGCCACATATATCTCTAATACGATAGAAGCTTTGTCTACAGTGCTCCTCTTTTTTTTGAGCACACAAAAGAATTATATTCAATGTCCTTATTTTCACCAAGAGTCTTTTTAAGACAATCCAGTTTTTTCTAGTATAAACCTCAAAATTCTTCCAGCCTCTACCCATTACGCAGTTCCAACATCATTTCTACATTTTTAGATATTTTTCCAGCAGCACCACACTGCCCAGTAGCAAGAGCTATATTAGTTTGCTAGAGTTGCCATAACAAAGTACCACATACTGGGTGGCTTAAACTTAGTGTACATTAGTTCAACCATGGTGGAAGACAGTGTGGCAATTCCTCAAGGATCTAGAACCAGAAATACCATTTGACCCAGCAATCCTATTACCTGGTATATACCCAAAGGTATATACCTGTAGTAGAAATCATTCTACTATAAAGACATATGCACACGTATGTTTATTGCAGCACTATTTACGATAGCAAAGACTTGGAACCAACCCAAATGACCATCAATGATAGACTGGATATAGAAAATGTGGCACTTATATACCTTGGAATACTATGCAGCCATAAAAAAGAATGAGTTCATATCCTTTGCAGGGACATGGAGGAAGCTGGAAACCATCATTCTGGGCAATCTAACACAGAAACAGAAAAGCAGACACCACATGTTCTCACTCATAAGTCGGAGTTGAACAGTGGGAACACGTGGACACAAGGAGGGGAACGTCACACACCAGGGCCTGTAGGAGGGTGGGGGGCAAGGGAAGGGATAGCATTAGGACAAACACCAAATTCATGTGAGGCTTAAAACCTAGATGACGGGTTGATGGGTGCAGCAAACCATGACACATGTATACCTATGTAACAAACCTGCATGTTCTGCTCATGTATCCCAGAACTTAAAGTATAATAAGAAAAATAAAAAGAAGTATATTTTTCTCACATTTCTGGAAACCAGAAGTCTGAGATCAATGTGACAACAAGGCTTATTTTTTCTGAGGCCTTTCTCCTTGACTTGTAGAGGGTCGTCTCCCTGTGTCAGCACATGGTCTTCTGTGCGTGTCTGTTTCCGTCCTAATCCCCTCTTCCTGTAAAGGACACCTGTGAGATTGGATCAGGACCCTGCCATATTACCTCACTTTACCTTAACTACCTCTTTAACGTCTTATCTTTAAATACATTCTGAGGTATTGGGTTAGAATTTCAACATATAAATTATATCAGGTGCCACAATTCAGGCCATAATTATACCTCAGTATCATTTATACTCAGATAAGGGGCTTGTTATTGAATTTTGTAGATCTCTCAGTGAGAGAGGTTACAATTAGAAAACAAAACTGAGCAAAGACATCAACATCTGCACATAAAAGTTTAAGTCTAGGCAAACCACTTAAGTAAAAATAACCAAAATTATGGAGGGAAATGAAACAGAACTGATAGTTGCTATATTATCTAAAATGTCCAATTTCAATCAAAATGTTAAACCTATGTACAAACAGAGATGTGTGACCTATAGTCAGAATGATAAAAAAAGCTTTAAACAGAGACTGTATCTCAGTATGTTTATATGCTGGATTTAACAGATACTTCAAATCACCTATTACAGATAAGTTTTAAAATTAAATAAAATAAAAAGACAATTAATAGAAAATATGCTAATAATAAGTCAGCAAGCAGGGATACAATCTATAAAGCATGAAAAACCTAGAATTAAAAGTATAAAATCTGAAATGAAAAGTTTAATATATGCCTGCTTTTATACCTTTGAATCAAGGTATCAAAAAGGAACCAGTAAGCCTGAAGGAATATCAATAGAAATTATCTAATGTGAACTAAGAGAGAAAAAGTTTCAAGAAAAATGAACAGAACCTTAGAGACCTCTGAGACAATACCAAGTGTTTAAGATATGTATAATGAGGTTTTTAGAAATAGAGCAGAAAGAACAATGACCAGAAAAAATATATATAAAGTCTGAAACTGTTCCTGATTTGATGGAATATTTAACTTGCATATCCAAGAAGTTCAACGAACCAAACACAGGATAAATACAAAGAGAAGTAAACCTAACACATCATAGTCAAATTGATAAAAGCCAAAGACAGAAAATATCTTGAGGCAGCAAGAGAAAGTGACTCTTTACAAGAACAAGATTCACCAAATGGCTGATTTTCCATCAAAAGTCACAGACCAGAGACAGTGAAGCTGTAAAATGACATATTTAAGTCCTGAAATATTTTAAAAATCTGTAAAACAAGAATTTTGTATCTGGTGAAATTATCCTTCAAAAGTGAAGATGATATGGACATTCTCATATAAACAGAAACTGAGAGAAGTCTTTGCTCACAGACTTGTTTTTAAAGAAGTGTTAAAGCAAGTCTCTCAGACTAAAAAGAAATGCACAGAATAAATGAACATCATGGAAAATGGTAATTATGTGGGTAAATATAAACAACGTTTGTATACATATACACACACGCATACCTCACAGCAAAACTGTGACTCCATATGATTGGGTTCATAAAGTAAATAACTGATATATATATAATGATGATAGCGTGGTGGGTGTGGGATAAAACTATGCTAGTGCAATGTGAAAGCAGTTTGTGATAAATCAGATATGTATAATATAATCTCTAGAAAAACTACCAAAATTAATTAACACTATGTTTAAAATATCAACACAAGAATTAAAATAATTGACCCTTCTTTTACAAAGAAGACAGTAATGGAAAACCACACCAACCAAGAAACAAACACGTGCTGTAAAGAAAAAAAGAGCACATGAAAGAAATAAACTAAAGCACATTAAGAGTTACATTAAATGCATGTGAACTAAAATTTCAATCAAAGGCAGAGATTGTCAGGCTGGATTAAAAATCAAGATCCAATAATATCAATAACAAGTTATCTACAAGAGATGTACCTTAAATTCAAAGATACAAGTACATTGAAAGTAAAATAAAAAATATATAGCATGCAAATAAAACCATAAGAGAGCTAAAGCAGCTATGTAAATATGGCCAACAAGAAAAATGGATAATTTGTGCTGTATTCACAAAACTCAATTCTGTAAAAAAGAAAAAGTAACTGAATGTCCAATATGCACATAAATATGACTAACTTCATGTACTAATTTTGAATAAGAAAAGCAAGTTATAGAGGAATACACAGAGAGTGATTCCATTTGTGTAAAATTAAAAAATATAGACAACCTACAATGCATATTTCAGGAAAATGAAGGTATTAATAAAATTATAAAAATGCAAGAGACTATTAAACATGAAAATCACAGTAGATTTTGTACATTAACTAATTTATATTTTTAAATGTTCACCAAATCCATGTTTTTATATAACTCCTATGCTTTTCTGATTTTTTTGATTTGTAAAAAAACTGATATTCTCTCTTTTATCCTCCTAAAACTTTTAATGATTTCTTCATGATCAGAACTCAGGCTTTTTATCACAGTGTATTTACATGTGTCACATATTAATTTTCATTTTGTTTTTTCTTAGTTAAAGGTAGAGACTCAAAATACAGGTATTTTTTCTCAATTTAGAAATTTTTACACATTATTTATTAAAGTAACTTCCGTCTATCTTATTTATTCTCTCCCTCTGGATCAAATACTGGATTTCCTCAAGCTTCTCTTTCGACCTTGAATTTTCCCAGTTTTCTTTTTTAAAGATGTTTCTCAAATTTACTTGACTATTTAGATTTTTAAAAACTTTTTTGAATGCATTTGTTTCATATATATCTATGTTTTCTGTTGGTCATTTATTTTACTGATTTTTGCTTTTTTTTGGAATTTGTGTTTTTGGTTTTCAAGATGACTTATTTTTCTGGCTGCGCCTTTAACTTCACAGTACACTATTTTATAGACTTGATATTCACTAGGCTCTCTTAAAAGTTTTCAAATTATCTTTTGTTTTCTACTTTATTTCTGTTTGTATTTCTGAGTTTAGTTGTTCCATCTGCATATCCTGCTCCTTTTATTTCATGCTCTTAGATTGCTTCAAGTACTGGGAAAACACTTCCTGTTTTGCTTATGGATCTAAGGAAGGTGTAGTTCAATTAGTAGACTGGCTCTCCATGCAGCTAAATAGGTCAAAACCATCCCTCTCTAAACTGACGGTGCCTTGTATAATTGGCTACTGCTTGTCTAAGAGCAAGTTTCGAGGATACAGTGCAAGATCAGGAAATAAACAATCACAGAAATAATAGTATAGAAACTTTATTAGCTGCCTGGGAATGTTGTTATGCTTGTTACCTATATGTGTTTTTTTGTGTGTGTGTTTTGTTTTTTGTTTCTTTGCTTGTTTTTTAGTTACTGTAGCAAGATGAACTTATTCAACTTCTTCTCTGTTACCCTCTCCAGTTTCTCACCTCAGAACTTTTACTGATTTGTGGTTCCATTTCTCTGTTTCATCCTGGGGAGAAAGCATTACCATGCTATTTGTCAGGAAGGGTATAGATTCTACTGATACAGCTCTGCTGTATGTAGGCATTCAGTTAATTTCTATAAGATCATCCTACAACCAATATTAAATTTTGAATT
Source organism: Homo sapiens (assembly GCF_000001405.40). Classification (NCBI taxonomy): domain Eukaryota; kingdom Metazoa; phylum Chordata; class Mammalia; order Primates; family Hominidae; genus Homo; species Homo sapiens. Next base: position 49,087,429 of record NC_000007.14, read on the forward strand.
GCATTATGGAAGATTTTATAAATAAAATAATGTAAGTGAAACGTATCTGTGAGGAAATGACAGTGCTGTGTGTCAGATCAGCGACCTCAGACCAAAGTTCATTTAAAAATGAAGAATTTGAAGATACCTATAGGGCTGGGATTGGGACTTGAACTCTTGGGTTCAAGATGTCCTCAAATTCTTCATTTTTAAAGAGTGTCATATTAGTATCTAACTCACAGGACTGTACTGTAGATTAATTGAACTAACAGAGTCAAACAATTTGAAGAGTGCTCGATGTATAGTGAGCAACAAAAAAAAAATCAACCAGCCAAATAATAAATGAAAATGATAATTATCTTGTATTGCTACACTTTTCATAATTATTTTTACCAAGAAATTATTGAATGATATATATATCATAGTATATATATGCTATATATATAATATATATCATTCAATATATATTATATATATAGCATATATATATTATATACTTTACTTTGGAAGATAGAAGGAAATCCGCATCACAGAAAATATATATTCTATTTATTGTTTCACTAGAAAACAATACTAGATGAAGACAATTGATTGTTTATTCGGAACTAAATAAAGTCTCAGTTATGTCTGTCTATTTAAACTTGAGCTAATTATCTCATGTCTCTGGGTCTGTCATTTTTATTAAATAAAACAAAGTAACCATGTCACACATTCACAGGATTACATGACAGAAGGTGAATGAAAACCCTTGAGGCATCATCTATTTACTAATGAAAGTCTGTCTGCTTCCTTCCAGTGAGAATATGAGTTAGTGTATCCTCCTTGATTTATTTATACTCTTGGGCATATTACTGTTTTCTATCTGCAGGCACCAGATGACTAATTACCACTGTGAATCCTCAGTGAAATCTAACTGAAGACCAAAGCAAGAAATATATTTGATACCAAAATTTAGAGAGAGCAAATCAGAAGATGGGATAGTTATTTTATAGCTTGACATGTAGACCAACCTCTTTATCACTAGGCCAGCTGACTGATGCAATTTTATTTAGAAAATATGATCTAGGTTTCTCTATCTTTTAAAAAACCTGAAATAATTGGTTTGCACAGATTGTACCATGCTAATCACCTGAAATTAAGCAACTCCTCCATGGAGTCACTGTCACCAAAGAGATCAATATTGAATAAGGAAAAGTGTTTCTGATTCACAGGACCAGATCCCTCTGTTCTCTTAAAAAAGAATTTAGTGAAATACTGCTTTTGTGGCTAAAGACTGAAAATGAAAGATTTGCTTTATAGTTTTAAACAGAATAAACTTTTAAAAATTTAGCAACATCTTATAAATTATAAAAATAATTTTTTACACACTGAATTTCTTTTTTAATAATGAGGTGGTGTCACTCACTGAATTAATGTAATTAATAGTTGATTTATTTCTTTCTCAGGAGACTTCATTTTAGCTGTATTGTACTTAGGGGCAGGACATGATTTTATTCCCATACCAAATCTTAGTTAATGAAATCTTTCACATTGTGTGGGCAGAACTTATATTGCTTCCTTTAACAGTTTATTTTGACTAGAGATGGAAGTCATGAGATAATGCAGGTGTCTCTCATTTCATAACTTAAATCTGATGTAATACATAGTCCAAAAACATATAAAGATGATATTGGGAAAACAAGTTTAAATCACTCACTTGTATCCTTTTGTCAGAGCTTTCTCATTGACTTAGAACAGATTTAAAAGCCTCCTGAAATAACAATACTGTAAATTATCTAGTAATGTGCTATTTTTTGTGTTTCAGGGCCTTTATATACAAGAGGGATGTGGTTTAGCAGGGTCATTTTTAACTCAGTCAAGTAATACACAACCTGTAATGACTGGCACTTGCTTGCTTTGTAAAAGTGGTCGTTTTATTCTTCCAATTGTGAGAAAATTTGATCATATATTTTAAAAATATAATTGTCTCCAGCAGTATTTTTCAATAGTTCATTTGCCTTCTAATAATATTCTGGTAAAAATACCTGTTTCATATTTCATCCAATACATTAGGTGGTAGTATGGTTTGAGCATAACCACAGAATTGTATAACAAACAGTTTCTCCCTATCATTTCATTCAACTGTCAGATAAAACATGAGTAAATGAGGATCCAGAAATATTATAGTACAACACAGGACCACAAGTAAGTGAGTGAAAATTGAAGCCACATTGCTAATTATGTAAAGCAAGAAACATGGGGGGAAGTATAAAAGTTAGTCAAAAAGTTGGGACCTCAGGGGGCTGTCCCATTAATGAAAGGGGAACTAAATAAGCTATTTCTACTAGTCTGGGTAGGTGGTCATAAAGAATCTCTCTGCTTAAGGTTATGAAAAGGAAAGATAAAGATTGTCACTTGATAAATTAAACCTTCCACTAACTGCAGATAAATAGTAGTGGTCTCAACTTACACTACTCACTTTCTGCTAGAATGACCCAGGAGAAGACGATGTATGCAGGAATTTAAGGTGGCATGTGAAAGAAACAACTACAAAGCCTCTCTCAGGAGGAACTTCCACACACAGGCCAAGAATCTCATGTAAAAACAAGCTCCACCGAAAGTGAGTTAAACAACAACAAAAATTAATAAAAAGGAAATATGCCAAAGCAAAGATCTGCCATGAACAAAACTAGCAGAAACAAAATGACAGGAATATGTGTGTGTGTATGTACGTGTGTGTGTGTGTATATATATGTATGTAAGTTATATAAATATATACATATATAACATATATACTATATAAAGGTAAAAAATAAGATATGAAAGATAGGATGATAATATCTGAAATATATCCAATAAAAATATTGGAAGAAAAATTGAGTGAATTGTATAAAAATAGCATTTAATAAAAATGCCTGAGAATTTTATAAAAATAATGAAAGATTTCCTTCTTATTTAAAATTTTAAGTGGCACTCTCACCATACAAAATTGTAAATTGGTGAGGTGATGGATATATTAATTACCTTGACTGACTCTTTTCATAATATATTCAAAGATCAAAACATCACATTTTGCCCCATAAATATACAGAATTATTATTTGTCAATATAAAAATAAAAAATAAATAAATAAAATTTAAGTAAAATTGCTGAATATTAAGGACGAAGAAGAATCTCAAAAGCACCCTGTTTACTTAAAAGGATCACAACAAGGCAAAAAGAATAAAGAATAGAAACAAAAAAAGTAATATTATTTGTAAATGATTAAATAATATAAATTGAAGAACTTATTAAAATACATATGAAAATCATAAAATATATCAATATAATTTACCATTCTAGAGCCATTTGAAAATTTTAATGATCAAACTAAAGGAAATTAACAGTAAATTGATAATTTAAAAACGCATTTAGCTTGAAGAAGGATTAATATACACTAATTTATATAAGAAGCACAAAATTCAGTAACAAAAGACAATAGAAGCATAGTCTTTAATGTATTTTCATTTGTAATATTCAATAATATTCTAGAAATCTCAGCCAGTATATTATAGATGCTTGTAAAATGTTTAAAAGTAAAAAAAAAAATTATATTTCATCACTTTCAAAGAAATTTTCCAGAGAAAATTCAAATATTTTCTTAACCAATCTATACAATCTAATAAAATATGTCAGCAAACTTTTTGGTTATAATATATGCACAATCAACATTATTTTAAAATATGAATTTTAATTATTATATACTTCTGCTACTATAAAAGAGAGAGTGGGGGTTCCAGATTAATTATCTTTAGTGAAAGAACTTGTCAACCAGATGAACTGTATGAAATGCTTTTCAGACATTGGGCATTAGCCAGTGCAGAACCATGCTTACAGATAGAAGAGAAGCATACAAAGTGAGCCCTGTAATTGCCTAAGTTACTTTCTAGAAAGAATTGTCAAGCAGTGCACGATGAAGAAACCCAGAGATCTCTGTGAGTTCAAGAGGTGGAGTTGAAAGTCCAATGAGACAAAGAAATCTGTAATTTGCAGACAGTACACCACGAGAGCTCTGAAGATTGGCAAGACTCTCCTTTGATTTCATTTAGCGAATATAATCACTTATCAGCACATGCATAAAAGTAAAGCATCTGAAGCTAAGAAAGGAATCACCCTAAAGGATTAGAGAGAACAATCCTGAGCTCACCAACCAGTCAGGATGAATAACATCATAATTCAAGGAACACTGTGTGGAGTACACAGAAAGGTACTGCCTCCATTGTGGGACAAAACTAGCACAGGAAAGGCTGCTCAGATTCTAATTCAGCCAAGAGAACTTCCTTTTCCAGACACGATGAAGTAATAATGAAAGATTCACCTTCCTGCCTGAAAGTGTTAGGGTAGATGACTCATTCACTTTAGATGAGACTGTAAATTGGTAAAACCCAAAACAAATATAAAAATGTCCGTAGCAGAATTGTTCATAAGAATCCCATACTGGGAACAATTCATATGCATCTCAACTCATATGATGCAACTCACAAACATCAATAGTGGAATGTGTATATAAATTGTGATTTATTCATAAAATGAAAATGAGTGAATTATATACCTGCATGCAACAAAATGAAGCATTCTCAAACATAATATTGAGTGAATAAAAGCCAGGTATAAGAGTAAATATCATGTATTGCATTTATAAAATTTTCAAAAACTGGCAAAATGGACCCAAGTTTGTTGAATATTTGGATACTGGTATAAAATCTTTGCAAGGGAGAAACATTTTAGAGATGAGCACAGCATATATAAGCTTTACAGTGCTGTCATGATTCTCTTTCTAGAACTGAGTAGAAATTCATTAAGCTGTAAACTTAGGATAAGCATTTATTTGTATACTTGTTGCACTTCATACATACATTTCTGAAACTATGCGAGGAAAGGCAAAAGCATGAAAAAGATGAGCAAATATAAGTGATAAAAATAAGACGATAGAATTCAAAAAATGTCCAAAGTCACCATACATGCAAATAAATTGAACATACCTTTTAAAGAATAGAGCTTGTCAGACTGAAAATAAATATAATGTCCTCTTTGATAAGAGCTAACATACAGAACACAGAAATGCTGAAAGTAATGGGATGGTAAAAATAATTTCAGGAAATGATGGCCCAACATAAGATGGAGGCAAAATAGATTTCATGACATGAGATATAAAGAGATTCTTTAAATATTATATAGATTTCAATTTAACACAGTAAGTATGCTGTTTATATTTTAAAGGGCCTTGAAATAAACCAAGAACATTTTATAAAACTATGTAGAGAAACTGACAAATTCAACATGATCTCCAAAATTTTGAAACTTTCAATTATTAATAGGTCAAACATAAAAAGTAGCAAAAATATACAGCATTTAAAAAACAATGAGTAACTTTATTCATTGCACGTATAAAACATCTTTTACCTCAATGTTGAGAAAAAATGGTGCGTCCTCTAACATACTTGCTACATTTGCACAAACTGAGAATGTTGTAGGCTGTAAATTTAGGATTTAAACTCCTAAAATCACATGAATTTAAAAATTATTATATGAACTACTTTATATGCCAACTGCCTGCAAAAATATTTGTTTTTAGTGCATATTTGCAAGTAGCAGAATTTTTAAAATGGCATGGGAATGAGAAATTTCAGAAAGTTGTTATCTCTGGATGGGGGACAGAGATGAAGAGAAAAATCTTTAAAAAAGCAAATTGAAATCTAATTTAAAATCTTTATACCTTATAACTAGGTACATGATTGTCTATTTTATTTTTCTATGTTATAAAAATATTTTATTTAAGAAAGCAATAGTAGAATAAATCTTATCTAGATTGTCTGAAGAAACTCTTGTCCTGGGAAAGATAAGAATAGAGAATATCAAAAATGGAAGAAGGTAACTACAAGCTCAGTAGAATTACCATAGCAAAGGACAGTTGTGGACGACACCAGTCACTCCAAACACTTATGTGCCAGACACTATTTTAAGCACTGCACTTTCATTAATTCATTTAATCTCAAAATAGTCCTAGGATTTTAACCTCTATTAGAGAGATGAGCTAATGAAGGCAAAGTGTGGTTGTTAAGTGGACTGGCTCACACAGCTAGGAAGTGTCAGAACTCCATAGATTAAGCTTGATCACCACAGACAAAATCTAGACTTTAGGGCTCACTTGAAGGCAAGATGTCATGTTGAGTTTATGTTTAATTGTTTAAATTTTTAAAAAATATGTATACAAGTATATATTTATATCTTAATTGGTATATATAAGATATTATGTGTGTGTGTGTATATATATAATGTATTTCAAAAATATATGGTAAGAGAGTGTTAACTACAATGTCATGGAGTCTTTTTGTTAATTTTGGGTATTAGCTTCACACAGCATCTCCATGGAATTAATAGTTTTGGAACCTGTATTCCTTGGTAAGTGAACTTTTAATGCATTTTGTTTACTTCCGCAAATAAATGATATAGAATTAACAGTTTGAAACATTTCACAGATGTTCTTGAACTTATTTTACACCAAGCTAATAAACTGTCAGGACTGTGCCTTAGAGAACTAGAGTGGTGTCAAATAGGGTTCTGCTGACAAAAGCATAGGAAACAACATCAGAAAGTTAGAATTCTTCCCTATAAAGTCCTCGTGTTTGTTTTAACACATTTCTAAATAAATTTTTGTCTGTAATAGATTCTCAAGCTTAGAAGCCTCAGCAAAGACACAGTGGATTGATGTTAAATATATAACCAGAGAGTCCTTAATCTCCTGATAGGTGTATAGGAAACTTACAAGGCCGTAATTGATCTGTCAGCTTCCACTGAATTACTCAGGGCTGTGCTGCAGTCACACTGAATGCTGCAGCCATTCTATTCTCACGATTCACATACATCTGATCTTGCTTTAGGCTGACATATTCTTCTTTACTTCTTAAATTACTCCTAACCTGTACTAGTTCTCTAAGCTTGTATAGTATTTTTTTTCATTGACCATATTTTGACTCTTTGCAATTATCCCTTTACTCCTTTGCTTTTTGAGTAATTACCAGCACATTGCTGTAACTTATACATCCGTTCTGAGGATCTAATATACAGTATAGTGGTGATGGATGTGTTAACTAATTTGATTGTAATAATCATTACATAATGTATATGTACATCGAATCATCACATTGTACACCTTAGGTATATACAATATTTATTTGTCAATTAAATATTTTAAAAAGCATAGATGAGGTACGCCTATCACATGAGTCTGACTGAGACATCACACTTACAAGATACATCTAGTGGACGGGGTCAAATTTTTACAAGTTGAATAGATGGATGCAGTGACGCACTCCTGTAGTCCCAGCTACTTGGGAGGCTGAGGCAAGAGAATACCTTGAGTCTAGGAGTTTTAGTTCAACCCGGGAAACATAGCAAAACCACATCTCTAAAAATTAAATAAGACGAAAAAAATTTATGAGTTGAGCTATAAGTAGATTCCAAGCTATAGGACGCTATTTGTGTAAGAATTGAGCATCAGCAAGATGCAGGATGAGATATTAGACAGACTCAAATCCATGAAGCCCAAATCTTTACAGGGACACAGGGAAATGGGAACACAAAGGCAGGAAGACTGCATTGGTGAGCCAGGCAAGCCTGCTTCAGTGGGGAACCCCATGTTCTGGCATCCATGCTGGCTGAACTCCCTGGTCACAATGCGAGATTAGGCTGAGTGAAAAGCTATAGGCCTTTCTGGGACCACAGAATGCAGAGCTGATAATGACATGATCAACAAAATATTTCTTAAAATCTCTCTCTCTCTTCTAAAATTAATTATAACCTTCCACCTAAAACAATTAAATAATACCATTTCCTATTGTGTATTAGTTTTATAATTAAATTCTTATGATAGTGTTTTTTAAAATTAATGCCTCCTGACTGATTCATTTTTCTGGGTATAATCCTAATAGGCTTCACATTTACTTTCAGAATGGCTGCTCTCATTTTCAGAAAAGTATAATAAATACTATACCCACAGATATGGAAAACATGACAATTCTGAGAACATATTTCGATAATCTTCTCTATGACCTATTGTAATTCTTCTGTAAAGCAAACACTATCTTGGATTAAGAGTATTTTATAGGCAAAGGCAGGGCAAGATGGCAGAATAGAAAGCTTCACTAATGACTCCTCCCCCCACTGGCAAGAACACAAATATAACAACTATCTACACAAGGAAAGCACCTTCATAAGAACCAAAAATGAGGTGGGCACTCGCAGTACCTGATTTTAACTTCGTATCTCTGATAGAGGCACTAAAGAGGTATAAAAAAGTCTTGAATTGCTGATGCCACCGCTCCTCTACCCCTGGGCAACAGCTGCAGTGGTGTGGAGTGCATTTCTCAGCAGTCGGGGGAGGGAGGGCACAGAAACTGTGAGACATTAAACTCAGTGCTGTCTTGTTAGAATAGAAAGGAAAGTAGGACAAAACTCCGCTGCTGCCCACCCGTGGAGGGAGCATTTAAACCAGCCCTAGCCAGGGCACAATCCCAGATACCAGTGTTCTGAACTTGAGTTCCTGTAAAACTCACCACCAAGGGCTAAAGTGAGGGGGTCTCTAAGTAAACTTGAAAGACGGTTTAGGCCACAAAAACTGCAACTCTTAGATGAGTCCTAGTGCTGAACTGGGCCCAACAACAGTGAACTGGAGGGGCACGTGATCTACTGAGACAACAGCTGGGGAGACTAAGGGAGTGCTGGCAACACCCCTCCACTAACCCTAGGCTCCTTCCTTCCCCTTGAGGAGAGGAGAGGGAAGAGTGTGGAAGACTATCTTGCATCTTGGATACCAGCTGTCAGCCACAGCAGGGTAGTCCACCGGTCAGAATTGCAAGGCCTGTGCTCTAGGCTCTAGCTCCCAGGTGACATTTCTAGACACTCCCTGGGCCAGAAGAGAATCCACTGCCTTGAAGGGAAGGAATCAGTCCTGGCAGTACTCATCACCTGCTAATTGAAGAGCCCTTGGTCCCTGAATAACCAGCAGTGATACCCAGGTACTAACTACATCAAGGGCCTTGGGTGAGACTTACTAGTGAGGTAGAGAAACAGGTGGGCTCTTGAAGTCCCTGATTCCAGCATTTCTGGACCTGCCCTGTGCCAACGGGTTGCTCACTGCCCTAAAGGTCGAGTCTCAAGCCAGACAGCATTCATAGAAAACTGACTTAAGAGATCTTGGGCCTTAAGGGAAAATTGACGGTAGCCTGGCAATACTTCCCATGGACCTGTGATGGTGGCCATGAGATAAGGCCCCTCTGCCTTTGCAAAGGAGAGAAAAGAGTTGGAAGGGCTGCATCTTGTGGTTTGAGTGCCAGCCCAGCTGCAACACCAGTTACATTTCTAAGGTATTTTACTCTAGTTCCTGAATCCTTATTGGCACTTCTGGACCCACCTGGGGACCAGAGGAACTCGCCACCCTGAAGGGAAGGACACAGGCTTGGGTGGCTTTGCCACCTGCTGATTAGAGAGCCCCAGGTCCCTGATTGAACACAGGCAGTAGACAGGGAATAGCTATAGCAGGCCATGGGTGGGACCTAGAGCTATACTGGCTTCAATTCTGACCCAGTACAGTCCTAATGGTGGTAGCCACAGGGGTGCTTGTGTTACTTTACCTCCAGTTTCAGGTGGCACAGGACAGAGAGAGAGAGAGACTCCCTTTCTTTGGAAGAAAGTAAGAAAAGAGAACAAGAGTCTTCTCCTTGTAATCCAGAGAATTCTCCCGGATCTTGTCCAAGATTACAGGGCAGTACCTCTGTGAATCTATAAGAAGCACACATTTCTGGCTTTGAGATGCCCCCTAAAGAAAATACAGCTTAGATCACAACACTCAAGTCCTTTCAAATATCTAGAAAGCCTTCCAAGACACAACGGGGGTACAGGCATTGGGTAAATGTTCCCATTCCCAGTGGGAGAAATTGGCCAAAACAAAAGGGTTGCAGGCCCCATGCAAGTCCAAAACATGGCAGGGCACTCATTAAATTTTAAAGCTCCAAAATATGTCCTTTGACTCCATGTCTCCCACTCAGGGCATGCTGATGCAAGGGGTAGTGGACTAGTCCATTTTCACACTGCTATAAAGAACTACCCAAGACTGGGTAATTTATAAAGGAACAAGCACAGGCAACCAAAGCAAATATGGACAAATCATGTTAAGTCTTAAGCAGAGCATAAAGGTTTGGTTGGAACATTTGCCCCCAAACAATGTAGTAGAACATAAAAAAGCATTTTCTGGGAAGAAATTCAAGCCGGCTGCATCAGTAACAAGGAGCCGAATGTTAATAGCTAAAGAAATGGGGAAAATGTCTCCAAGGCATTTCAGAGATCTTCAGGGCAGCTTCTCCCATTACAGCCTGGAGGCCTAGGAAGGTAAAATGGTTCTGTGGGCAGGGCCCAAGCCCTGCTGCTCTGTGCAGCCTCGAGATATGGTGCCCTGCATTCCAGTTGCTCTAGCTTCAGCTATGGCTAAAAGGGGCCAACATAGAGCTCAGGCTTAAAAAGTTAAGTTAAAAAGCTTGGGCACAGCAGCCGGGTGCAGTGGCTCACGCCTGTAATCCCAGCACTTCGGGAGGCTGAGGCGGGTGGATCACGAGGTCAGGAGATCGAGACCACCCTGGCTAACATGGTGAAACCCCGTCTCTACTAAAAATACAAAAAATTAGCCGGGCATGGCAGCGGGCATGGTGCCTGTAGTCCCAGCTACTCGGGAGGCTGAAGCAGAGAATGGCGTGAACCCAGGAGGCAGGGTTTGCAGTGAGCAGAGATCTCGCCACTGCATTCCAGCCTGGGCAACAGAGTGAGACTTTGTCTCAAAAAAAAAAAAAAAAAAAAAAAAAGACTTGGGCACAGGAAAGAAAACAATCAACAGAGTGAAGAGACAACCCACAGAATGGGAGAAAATATTTTTAAACTACCCATCAGACAAATGATTAATAACCAGAATATGTAAGAAGTTCAAACAACCATAGGAAAAAAAAACTAATAATCTGATCAAAAATGGGCAAAAGATTTGAATAGAGATTTCTCAACAGAAAACATACAAATGGCAAACAGGCATATGAAAGGGTGATCCACATCATTTACCATCAGAGAAATGCAAATCAAAACTATAGTGACATATCTCACCCAAATTAAAATAGCTTATATCCAAATGATAAATGCTGGCAAAGATGTGCAGAAATGGTAACCCTCCTACACCATTCAGGGAAATGTAAATTTGTACAACCACTATGAAGAACAGTTGGGAACTTCTTCTGAAAACTAAAAGCTACCATATCATTCAGCAATCCCACTGCTGGGTACACACCCAAAGGAAAGGAAATCAGTATACTGAAGAGATAGTTGCATAGCCCAACAGGTGACTATAATCAATAATAATTTAATTGCACATTTTTAGATAACTAAGAGTATAATTGGATTGTTTATAACACAAAAAAAATAAGTGCTTAAGGGAATGGATACCCCGTTTTCCACGATGTGATAATTATGCACTTCATGCCTATATCAAAACATCTCAAGTACTCCATAAATATATACAACTACAATGTAAGAAAAGTTAAAAATAAACAAGAATGTATTATCATAGTTACAAAAGAGATTCTTATGGTGCACAAGGGAAGAGATTAAACATAGCCTGAGAGGTAAACTGAACTTGTAAACAAAAGTTATTGAAAACACAATGGCCACAATGGCCAGTTGTCCATTTGCCATTTCTGATTGTTTTTGAAAGCATGCCAATTTCACAATCTTTTCTTGTACTTTAAGGCTCAGTCAGTGACAGGCAGAAGATGTTAACATGGATCGAGACTTGAAATGTCTCAGACCCAAATCCAAACTTCTGGGGAGACATACTTGTTGAGAATTGTGGATCTCTTCATTATGACCACCGTGCTCATGGATGCATTGCAAAAGCCATGGAGTAGCTGAGCAGAGAGGCTAGAAAACATCCACAAGACTGGCCGTTCTGTACTTTGGGTCACCGCATGACTTATCTGCTAGGTATTCCCTGTGGTGGACATTGTCAAGGGACACTCAGAGCCACACCTTTTCCACCATATGGCCATCCATGCTTCTTCTATAGATCTCTTGCCACCAATCTTCTGATCTTGCCCTTTCTATACCCCTGGCCAACCAGCCAAACAATTCACTGCTGTACCAATGTGTTTGCATGCTGCAGGTCACCTAACATTCCAGACAGAGTAGACACCAAGTGTATTGTCCCCTAGATCTCCCTTTTGAGAAAATTTTATTTTACCACTTCATTTAGGGCCATCCCTTAGTCTCTATCAGTTAACTATAAAGCCACTAAAGTGGGTGAACAAGAGGCAGTGACTCCAGTTCTCTCTAGGTGGCGTAGGAGTCTGGTATACCTATTTATTTAATTTACTTATGTCTTTTGAACCAGCTCAAGCCTAGAGCCTGACACTGTATTTCATTATACAGCAGATTGCTATTGAACCTGTCTAAAGTATGATTCAGAAGTTTCAAAAACACACAGCTCATGATGGACAAGACAGTTCAGGGAAAAGTAACTTTTTTTTTCCATCAGAAGCCTAATTTCTACTAGGTGTCAGTGACACACAAGGAGCTGATTTTCAAGCAGAGCATAACCTTGCACCAGAACTCGAGAAGTATGTGCCGGTCTCACTGGGGCTTGTCAGAGACTCACTTAACATCATTTCCTACAACATCGTTAGCATTTTCCGATCTTCTGGCCATTAGGCTCAAGTGGCAGAGCAACTTGCTCTATAGCCTAGGTATGCTGCAGAGCATTCTCTTGCACTGGACCCACTTGAGGCTGAAAGCATCTCTCAGTGAATAGGTTGCCTCAATATTTCCAAATGTTATGCTGCTTCCATAACTTTTTGAAGCCTGATAAACACCACTATCTTTCTTACTGCAAGCTGCAACAACCTGTTCTTTACCTGAACAGGGGTTACACTGGCAATGCAGGAGAGGACTAGATTCCAAACACCTGACTGATTCTCAGGTGTATCAATCTTTGAGTCATGTAGAGTACATATCTGCTACTCCTAGTTCACCAATTAGCTGGACTTTATTATAATATGGACTTATGTGATACTTTTTCAAAGAAAAAATACACAAAGTCTCTGTAGCTTCTACAATAACAGGAGATCAGGAGTTAACACTGCTCTATAGCAAGATGGTGAAGGTGAATTACTCTCCTTGCCATTCAAGGATGAACTACTGTTTATTTCCTCTGATTGGTATCAAGCAGAAAGTAGGTATATGTACAACAAAATTAAAAAAAAAAACTCTAACATACAGCCATGTAGTTTTGTGAATCAGTAGTTAAATCCTGTTAGACTTATTATTTGTGTTCTATTGTAGGACTTTGCTCCAATGCTTTTATCCTTTCAGTTGTCAGACATTTGAGTTCTTTCTAGTTTGAGGGTATTAAGAATAAAGCCACTGTGAAGTTTCATGTACAATTATTTTTGTGAACATATGTTTTCCCTTTTTTGGGGTAGGGGTGGAATTGCTTATTCTTATGTAAAGATATGTTTAACTTTGTAAGAAATTTCTAAATTGTTCTTTTAAGTGGATGTATCATTTTATATATTCACCAGTAATATATGAGTTCTATTTGCTCCACATCCTCATCAAAATTGTTATTGTCAGTGTCAGGCCTCTGAGCCCAAGCTAAGCCATCATATACCCTGTGACATGCACTTACACATCCAGATGGCCGGTTCCTGCCTTAACTGATGACATTCCACCACAAAAGAAGTGAAAATGGCCTGTTCCTGCCTTAACTGATGACATTGTCTTGTGAAATTCCTTCTTCTGGCTCATCCTGGCTCAAAAGCTCCCCTACTGAGCACCTTGTGACCCCCACTCTGCCCGCCAGAGAACAACCCCCCTTTGACTGTAATTTTCCTTTACCTACCCAAATCTTATAAAACGGCTCCACCCCTATCTCCCTTCGCTGACTCTCTTTTCGGACTCAGCCAGCCTGCACCCAGGTGATTAAAAGCTTTATTGCTCACACAAAGCCTGTTTGGTGGTCTCTTCACACGGACGCACATGAAAGTCAGCCTTTTAAAATTTTACCACATCTCATGAATATGCACAGGCAGAACATTGTGAGTTAATTCAATCTGACGACCAATGACAGTGAGCATTTTTCTATGTGTTTATTGGCCATTTATATATCTTCCTTTCTAAAGTGTCCCTGTAAATTTTTGCCCCTCTATTTGTGAGTACATTATTTGTCTTATTATTATTTAATTATAACTTTATTTATTCTGGATGCAAGTTCTTTGTCAGATGCTATGTGTTACAAGTATTTTTTTCCAATCTGTACTTGTACTTCATATTTTCTTTTGTTTTTTAGAAAGCAGATTTTTTTTTTATTTTAGTGAAGTCCAATTTACCAATTTTCCTTTAGAGTCAATATATTTTGTCTTTTCTAAAAAAAAATCTTTGCCAATCCCAAGCTTTTAATTGGTTTTTAATCTCATATCATGATCAAAAGAAGAGATCTGGAGATCGAAGAACTATTTTTTGAGAGATTTTTAGGAAGTTATTCAAAGTCGTATAATAAGATTCTTTAAAACAAATTCTTTTCACCTGATGCTTTCACTAGTAATGGTGAACAAAACAGGGCTTTTCTTTATTTCCTATATAGGCTTTTATACTACAATATCTACATACCTAAGAACCTGCAAATAGTCAAAAGTCAACATATCAAAACAACTATTTTATTAGAAAAGTAATGATGTAGTAAACAAGGTGTGTCACACTTAAAAGAATAAGTTAAATTTTCCATAAGATATTCAAATGTAAGTGTTAATTCAAAAATAGATTTTAATATAGTTGTATATCTTAATTTCAACCTGGAGCTACACATTCGTTAATAAAAATTGCTTTCAATAATCTTTTTTTTCTCTCTGACACTTTTCCTGGTCTTGTAATTTTCTCACATCACAATACATAATAGAGAATATAAACAATAAACAATAAAACACAGTGTTTCATTTTAGAAGAGAGTTCAAATAGAGGAGTCGACTAGCAAAGAGATCTGAGTATTTCTACATATTTTATAAAAGCTTTTTCTTATTCCTGAGGGTAGAAAGAAGAGCTTTCTTCACATTACCATAGAACCAGTAATGGTATGCACCCAGTGAGTTGTGGGTGTGATTCAATTCCTTTGAAAAGATTCCTGCTTTAAAAGAAATGCCTGCATTTGAAAATGCAGGTTACAATGCCACTTATAATGGCTGCAATGTTATTCTGAATGCTTTTCTTCAATTTAATCTTAAAATAGTTTTGTGGAATTATTTTTTTCTCTAAAAAACTTTCACATATATGTGATAAAAAAAGCAGCCCCTTCACCCTCTACTTTCTGCTTGAGAATTTCTTCACTTTTTTCCCCCCTAAAGAAGGTATGGTTAGTTCTATGCCTCAAGACTGTGTCAGATAGAATCTCAACAAATATAGAAGAAAACTGCCTGAGAAATATACCCGTAATTAATATGGTAACAAGGCTATATGTTTCCGTGAGTCTTCAAAATCTTTTAATTATGAAATTAGTTTAATCACTATTGTATTTTAGAAACATGTTACTATTATAGGTATGTTGAGAATCAATGGGAAAAAATACAGTTTATATGAATATAATATAAGATGAAATCAATAGTGTCAGATGAACTATATTAAAGTAAATTTAAACCCAAATTTTACTTCAAAGTTATCTAAACTTGTTTGGCTATTGCTTAAGTAATTAAAGAAAAACTGTGTATACATTGAGCATGAAATATGATGTATTAGCACAAAGTCCACCAAATAGAAGATGCCTAACAAACCTTTATTGTTGATCAATTTGTAGCACTATCATAACTTGATGCCTTTCTTTCTGACAATCACAAAGATAATTTTAGGTAATATCGTATTACAGGATTTAAGGCTGTGAGCATTCTCCTAGTGACAGACTTCTCCAGAAAGTCTACAACTAACTAATGAAATTATGAAGGTTAATGTTAAGGAAAAAATCCACTTTGCAAGAGCTGGAACACAAATTTCTAATGCAATAAAATGTTGAGTGCCATTTTAAGAAACAATTCTCAGACTACAAATGCACTGCTCAAAGTATGCCAAATACCTGCCGCTTAGCTCAAAAACTGAGACTCTTAACATAAAATTTGGGACCTAGTTTTTGATACAATTTTTAATACATAGTAGGATTCATATTTTACTTATTTACTTGGATCAGTGCAATTAATTATTCAACATTTCTTCATTTATACAATTATGAATGTTTATTAATTTTACTAATAAATATTTTATTTTCTGTTTATATCCAAATGTCTGATTGCAATTAGTTTTTAAGCTAAGCTTTCTGATGGTTCCATGATTTTACCTCAAATTAATGAATGTAATGCTGGTTTTCTGGAGACATCTTTGATCCACACATTTCAGATAAAATACTACTTTGTCCAGCACTGAAAGTATATAAATATTATCTTCAAAAACCCAAATAGATTAAATATATTTTCTGACAGAATGCAATGCACAAAGTGTCAAATAATTATTGGTCATATTAATGAGCAAGACATAATCCTATTCAATCTAGAGAAGATAAAATATTTACTCCAAATGCTAACAACAAAGTTACATAAACTTTTAAGAATGCAACTCCTTGGAATACTTTTTCAGAAAATGCAAGTAGATATACTGGTAATGACAACAATAATTAACAATGCAATAATCATTAGTTTTATCCCTACTATATTTGATTCACTGATGGGAATTTGTTATATATATATATATATATATATATATATATATATATATATAAAATATACAATCAATGTGCTATTTATTGTATATAAATCATATAAAATAAATGTACTATTTACTGTATATATAAAGTGTATATATACAATACATTTATTATTTATTATGATAACCTTTGTATTATGCTGCTGAAAGGTGAGGGAATCAAGGTGTTAACCGATGCATTAATTTACAAACTATCACATACAGTAAGTGAGAAAATTAGCTTTTTCATTCAGACTTCAATCAGTTCTTTGAGATATCTTCAACCCTTTGCCATTTAAAGGTAAAATCTTTTTATATTTAATATGATTCACAATAGATGATGTGAATTCAGAGCATATATGTGATCTACTCTTCAAATATATGAGTGCATTTTATTTACATCTGTTTATCTAAGGATCATTGCCGTCTGAATTATTAACAAATTCAAAGGAGAAACATTTTAAACCAAAGTCATTTCATATGTCTGTCTTAAAGTTGTCATGTATCAGGTGCATTGAATTTCACTTAATATAATTTATTTTGACAGTCTATTTTTAGGATAAGGTCCTTCATTTGCATATCTTGATTAATGTTTTTATTTCCACTTTTATCTTCTATTAATTATAATTTTGAAGATAATATATTATTGTTAGTTAATTGTAATAATACAGTGTCTGTTCTGCATTCCTTTTTATTGTCTTCATCCTTTCTTCATTACTCTCACATCTGAGCCAATTTCCTAAATTTATCATCATTTGCCTTGAATGTATTTTTTCATTGTTCTTTGTTGTAAGTCTTTTGTTGTATTGTAATTCTGATGTGTTTGTACTTTAAATGTATACAGTTATGCTCATATCTCATTAATGACACTTTTATTTATACCAGAATATACTGGGACCATTTCCTAATATGTCCTGTTGTAGAGAATAAACATATTTCAGATAAGACACTTCTTGGATCTTGTTTGCACATTGCTCTTTTCATAGGACCCACGTGCTGCAGTGTATGTCAGAGGGGTCTATGGCTGGGTAGGTGTGGTTCCAAGTTGGCCCCTAATTTAAATTGACTCATGATTTGTTTTCAAAATTTGCTCTTTTTGTTTTTTTTTGTTTTTTACAAGATGTGTCAGTGGTCAATTTTCTGTCAATGACAACTCATTGTCAAAGATGAACATTGAAACACATATTTCCCTCAAAGATTGTGATTCTCAGACTTTATCAACTATATAATAAACACCTCAAATACTAGGAGGTGAAGTAATTAGGGAGATAAATGGTGCCTCTTCAAACTGCAGGTTTCAAGGCTGAGTGAGACCTGAGCTGAGGGAAGAGACAGAGCTGTAAAACAGATGAGGTTTTGAACATTTGATGTTACGTAGACTGGGGTTTTTGCTCTCTGAAGGTGAGATTGTTCATTAATAATTAAACTATGTCTAAAATAGCTAAGGGATCTGTCTATTATATAATCCAGATCAGATAAGTGAAAACCAATGATGCACTTTGAAAGACAGTAGTTTTGAGAAAAAAAATAAAGTGATTAAATGATCTCCATAGACATCCCCTCTCTCAGTAAGCCATGTCTATCTCTGACTGAGCTCCTGTCGACTTGAAAGCCTGTGGACAACGGTGTACAAATGAGCTGCACCTGGCACTTTTCTTCTGGGGATACTGTGCCAGAAAAAGCTACCCAGGCTCTGGGCAACTGAAATTTACTATCGCTGCTGAATCTAAACCTTTCCACTGTTTCATGCATCTTTATAAGTATTTATGGGTTGAAGTTCCTGGTGTTGACACTTAAAACACATTCCAGCTACATTGCAAGTATTCCTCACACAATAGAACCTTATACTAAGGTTTCTTTTTATTTTTCATTTAAAAAAAACAGAAATGTATTGTCTCACATTTTTGGACACCAGAAATCCAAAATCAAAGTGTCAACAGAACTAGGATTCCTCTGAAACACGTAGAGGAGAGTCCCTGTTTGCCTCACCGCAGCTTCCGATGTTTGCCAGCAGTCCTTGCCATTCCTTGTCTTACAGCAGCAACACTTTTGTCCCTGCATCTGTCATCACGTGGATTCTCCTGTGTGTGTCTCTGTCTCCGTGTGTCTGCTCTCTATAAGGACACCAGTCATATTGGATTAAGGGCTTATCCTACTCCAGCATGACCTCATTTTACTCATCCTACCTAATTACCGTCTACAATGACCCTATTTCCAAAGAAGATCATATTCTGAGCTACTGGTAGTAGTTAGGTCTTGAACAAAAATAGATTTAGTGAGATATAGTGAATATTCAAAGAGATGTGCATATTTAATGTGTACAATTTGATGAGTTTAGACATATGAAAATATGAATGATATTACCACAATGAAGGTGGTATGTTTTGGCTGTGTCCCCACCCAAATCTAATCTTGATTTGTAGCTCCTACAATTTCCATGTGTAGTAGGAGGGACTTGGTGGGAGATAATTGAAACATAGGGGTTGTTTCCCCCATACTATTCTCCTGGTAGTGAGTAAGTCTCACGAGATCTGATGGTTTTATAAAGGGAAACCCCTTTTGCTTGGCTCTCATTTTCTCTATTGTCTGCTGCCATATAGGACATGCCTTTCACCTTTTGCTATGATTGTGGTGCCTCCCAGCCACGTGGAACTGTGAGTCCATTAAACCTCTTTTTCTTTATAAATTACCCAGTGTCAGTTATGTCTTTATCAGTAGCATGAAAACAGGCTAATATAGTAAATTGATACCAGATAGTGGGGTGCTGCTGTAGAGACACCCGAAAATGTGTAAGCAGCTTTGAAACTGGGTAACAGGCAGAGGCTGTAACAGTGTGGAGGGCTCACAAGAAGACAGGAAAATGTGGTAAAGCTTGGAACTTCCTAGAAACTTGTTGAATGGCTTTGACCAAAATGCTGATAATTATATGGACAATGAAATCTGGGCTGAGGTGATCTCAGATGGAGATGAGGAACTTACTGGGAACTGGAGTAAAGGTGATTCTTGCTATGTTTTAGCAAAGAGACTGGTGGCATTCTGCCCCTGCCCTAGAGATTTGTGGAACTTTGACTTGAGGGAGATGATTTAGGGTATCTGTCAGAAGAAATTTCTAAGCAGCAAAGCATTCAAGAGGTGGCTTGGGTGCTGTTAAAAACATTCAGTTTTAAAAGGATAACACAGCATAAACGTTTGGAAAATTTTCAGTCTGACAATGCAATAGAAAATAGAAACCCATTTTCTGAGAAGAAATTCAAGCTGGCTACAGAAATTTGCATAAGTAATGAGGAGCCAAATGTTAATCACCAAGATTATGGGGAAAATGTCTCCAGGACATGTCAGAAGTCTTCACAGCAGCACCTCCCATCACAGGCCTGGAGGCCTAGGAGGGAAAAATGGTTTTATGGACCAGGCCCTAGTCCTCCCTGCTGTGTGCAGCCTAGGGACTTGGTGCCTTGCATCCCAGTCACTCCAGCCACAGCTAAATGGGGCCAAGGTGCAGCTCAGGCTGTTGCTTCAGAGGGTGCAAGCCCCAAGCTTTGGCAGCTTCCACTTGATGTTGAGCCTGCAGGTGCACAGAAGTCAAGAATTGAGGTTTGAGAACCTTCACCTAGATTTCAGAGGATGTACAGAAACATCTGGATGCCCAGGCAGAAGTTTGTTGCAGGGGTGGTGGCCTCATGGAGAACCTCTGCTAGGCCAGTGTGAAAGGGAAATGTGGGGTGGGAGTCCCCACATGGAGTCCCTACTGGGGCACTGTCTAGTGGAGCTGTGAGAAGGAGGCCACCGTCCTCCAGTCCCCGGAATGGTAAATCCATCAGCAGCTTGCACCATGTGCCTGGAAAAACCACAAGCACTCAATGCCAGCCTGTGAAAGCAGCCAGGAGGAGGATTATACCCTGAAAAGCCACAGGGGTGAAGCTGCCCAAGGCCATGGGAGTCTACCTCTTTCATCAGTGTGACCTGGATGTGAGACATGGAGTAAAAGGAGATCTTTTTGGAGCTTTAAGATTTGACTGCCCCACTGGATTTCAGAATTGAATGTGGCCTTTGGCCCCTTTGTTTTGGCCAATTTCTCCCATTTGGAATAGGAATATTTATCTAATTTCTGTACCCCCATTGCACCTAGGAAGTAACTAACTTGCTCTTGGTTTTACAGGCTCAGAGGCAAAAGGGACTTGCCTTGTCTCAGATGAGACTTTGGACTGCAGGCTTTTGAGTTAATGGTGAAATGAGTTAAGACTTTGGGGAAGTGTTGGGAAGGCATGATTGTTTTAAAATGTAAAAACATGAGATTTGGGAGGCTCCAGGGTTGGAATGACATGGTTTGGTTGTGTCCCTACCCAAATCTCATCTTGAATTGTAGCTCCCACAATTCCCATGGGAGGGACCTGCTGGGAGATAATTGAATAATGGGGGTTGTTTCCCTCATACTGTTCTCCTGGTAGTGATTAAGTCTCATGAGATATGATGATTTTAAAGGGAAAACCCCTTTCACTTTGCTCTCATTTTCTCTCCTGTCTACTGCCATGTAAGACATGCCTTTCACCTTGCACCATGATTGTGAGGCCTCCCCAGCCACATGGAAATGTGAGTCTGTGAAACCTCTTTCTCTTTACAAATTACCCAGTCTCAGATATGTCTTTATTAGCAGCTCCAAAAAGGACTAACACAGAAGGTAATACACAGAGCCAGCACCTTCCAAAGTTCACTTGTGTCCTTTGTTTTTGTTGTATTGTTGTTATTGTTGTTGTTTGTGGTAAGAACACTTCTTAACATGAGATTCCCTCTCTTAACAAATGTTGAAGTGTGCATCATTACATTGTAAACTATAGGCACTATGTTATACAGCAGAATAAGCTGTCTTTTAAAATCTTTCCTTTCAAAACTGAAGATCACTCAAGCCAATGTTTCTCATACTGGGATGTGAATATCCAAAAGGGAAAAGAACGGTACATTTATTTTTAGTTACTCTTTTCCTTTCAAAGATTTTTAAGAAAAAATTAACTAGATTACTTAAAATATACTGTAACAAATGGATATATCACACAATGAGATATAAAGCTGCAATAAATTTTAGACATTCTGCTACAGGTTTACATATGGCTCCCTTATGTGTGGAAGGGGTCATGGAGGGGGTACTTCCAATTTCTTGGGCCAGTAGGAGAGCTCTCAAAACTGTCAAATATGAGGCCACCTTGTCACTAAACTGCTGCATTGTTTAAACTTCTACATTCAAATAAGCCAAATTCTTCCATCACTTCTTTGAAGCTAGGAGAAATATTGGCAGCTTATTTGTCATGTTATCATCGATTGAACTTTGAAGACAGTTGTTAAATCTTTCATATTATTTTCTATTTTTCAAAAAATCCATTACTTAATTTTTGCTTATAAAATTTACTTCCATTTCATTTGTTTTTCCCTTAAAGAAATTATCTCTCGAATGACATAAAGATTATTTGTATATTGTACTGAGAAAGGCAGAAGAACATGTTATTAATTGCTGTGGTTAAACCAATAGGCTTGTACAAAACCTTTCAACTAAAAATATATGTATGAAACCTAGGAGACAGTATTCATTTTCACTGTCTTAATCTTTCCTCAAAGATAGATCCCATTTATCTGTGTTTAGATAATTTTATTTCTACTGAACACTTTACTCTTATAATTTTATTTTTCTCATTATTGTTGCTTTATAGTATTACAAATATAAGTATACTACGGTTTACTTATTCTACTGTTGATGTTTGTTTTCTCCCACAATTTTGGCCATTTCCAGTTAAACTCTTCTGTGTTTCTTCTGATGAACAAATCTACACATACATGCCTAGCAAGGGAATGGCTAGGACATAGAATATGAGCATGTTCAGCAAAAGTAGATGCTGCCATTTAACCGAACTGTTTGTACTTTCAACTGCACTGTGAGAGTCTTCCCACCAGTATCCTCCAACAATAACGTGATCTTCTCCTCATGCTTCTACTTGCATTTTCCTGAGGATTAATGAAGTTGAGAAGCTTTGTGTTTATTAGGAAATTTTATATCCACTTAGTGAAGTGCTGATACAAAACACCTGTCTATTTTTAAATAGAGTTAAATTATTTTTACTTACCGATTTTGAGGACCTCTTTATATATTTTGGAGATGTTTCCTTTGTAAGGATATAAAGAGAGTCAACTTTCATTCATAGATTCTGTATTGGCACATTCATTAACTCACCAAAATTTATCAGTAACTACAAAATCAACACTTACGGCATCTTTGTGATCATTCACATACATGTGCATGGTGGTAAAAAATGTGAGTGGAGTTTTCTTACACACATGTTATCAGCTGAGCTTGAAAAATGTGATGCGCTGTCTTCCTGTTTCAGCTTCATACAGAGATGAGCAGAAGGTGGAGAGGGTATAGGGCAGTGCAGTGCAAGGAACTCTGGATGTCGGGTCAGTTGGACAGGATGTGAATTGCAATTCTGACAGGTGTTAGCATGGGACCTCAAACAAGTCACTTAAACATGCTGAACATCATTTTCTTTTTTCGTGAAATAAAGAAAATAGCATCTACCAGGACTTAGGATTATAATGCATGTGAGATATTATATATATATATATATAAAATATGAATTTATGAACAATAGAGTAATTGTTCAATATTCACTAACTGCAACATTTTTATAAAACATAACTACTTTGATTAATGAGAATTGAGCCTGATATAGAAATAATCTCATAATCTGTGCTTGGCTTTTTACTCTTGTAATGGTGTCCTTGATTAATAGAATTTTATAGTAGTTCAGAGAAATATATAATTTTTTACCCTTTATGGTCAGTGGTTTTTGTGAACTGTTTATAAAAATCTTTGCCTATATCAAGGCATAAATATATTGTTCTATGTATTATTATATGTTTTATTTTTATCTTCTAAATGTGGATATACAGTCACCAAAAACTGATTTTTATATATGGTGTGAGATAGAGGTTAAGAGTCATTTTCCTTTGCTGGATGGATATCTAATTAACCCAGCTTAACTTATTGAAAGGACCATCTTTTCTTGATGACACTTCAGTATTATTACTGCCATTAATCAGGTGACTATATGTGTTTGGGCCTGTTTCTGGATTCTATTGTGTTTACTGGTCAATTTGTCAATTCACACACTAATACTAGACTTTCTTACTAACTACAAATTCAAAATAAGATTTAATATCTGGTTTTATGAGTCCTGCAGTTTTGTTCTCTTTCTTCATTTCCTATGCCTTCCCCTCCTCTCCTCCTGCTTCTCCTCTTCTTCCTTCTTATTCTATTTTTCCTGTACAGAATTGCTCTAGACGAACTATTTTTTAATTTGGATTTTCATAAAAAACAGATTTTTAAAAATAATTTTAGAGTTAAAAGAATACCTCCTGCATATCTACTGCAATAACATTGTATCTATATTTTAAGAAGAGTTGATATCTGTATGATATGAAATCTACCAAACCTTGAATGTGATATATCCTCCATTTATTTATTTATTTTTAATTTTCTTATATAATGTTTTGTATTTTTCCATGTGTGGGAATTTTGTATATTTCTTTACATGTATCCCTGGGTATTTGATTCTTTTTAAACTATGTTAAATAATGTTTTATACTCTCCATTTTTTATTTGTTGCAATATATATAATTGATTTATTTTGCCATGTCAGCATTTATTGTACTGAATTAATTTTGCTTTTTTTTTTAAGATGAGGTCTGTTGCCCAGGCTGCAGTGCAGTGGTATGATCTCTGCTTGCTGCAGCCCCCACCTCCCAGGTTCAAGCGATCTTCCCACCTCAGCCTCCCCTGTAGCTGGGAGGCTAATAGTCACCAAGTCTGGCTAATTTTTGTATTTTTGGTAGAAAAGGGATTTTACCATGTAGCCCAGTCTGTTCTTAAACTCCTGAGCTCATCGATCCACCCGCCTCGGTGGCCTCCCAAATAGCGGGCATTACAGGCGTGAACCACAGCACCTGGCCTAAATTTACACATGTATTTTTTTATGTGCTTCTTTGGATTTTCTTTGTGTATAAGCTTGTCACCTGTGAATAATAATTATTTTATTTCTTCTTTTCTAATCTGCATGCCTCTTCCTTCTTTCCCTCACCTCATGGCACTGGCTGGGCCGTCCAGTGCACTGTTGAATACAAGCGTGAGAGGGAGCCTCCCTGTGTTGTCCCTGGTAGTCACGGGGATAGCTGCCACCCTGTCAACACTGAGTGTGAGGGAGCATGACTGTGGGGCCAGACATCAGATTAAAGAAAGAACCTTCTATTTTAGTTCACTGAGAATTTTTATACTGAACTATTGGATTCCATCAAATAATTTTCTGCATCTAAACTATTACCAGAAGATATATCAGTTTTCTTTTGTTGCTCTTGGTGGGTTTTATAATGTGGAATTATAATATGCATTTCACAATATTTCTGAGATGTATTTTTTTTTTACTGTGACTTTCTGCTGAAGTTTTTAATCTCCCTATGCTGTGCAATTCCAGAATTATTTTTAAAATCATGTGCCCAAGTTCTCCGGTCGACACCTGTATGCCTACAACTCTTCTGAATTGTGTCTCCTTGCAGTACGTGCAATAACTTCCAGCCTGTCAGCCGCCTGCCTGTTGCTCAGATAGCAAATGCTCCCAGGGTGAGAGTAGCCACAGAAGCCATTTTATCTTGCTGAGTTCTGCTCTTCAGAGAATTAGCTGTTCGGTTCCAATTCTCTCCATTATTCTCCATTGACTTCAATCCAATGGTTAATTTATTTTAGCAGACATTTTGTATTGCATCTGTGACAGTTCTGTATACAGCCAACTATATTTCAAAAGGGAGAAGTAAGTTATCTCTATTTAATTTATTTCAGACACCCTATTCAACTATCAAATATTTTAGAGAAAAATCTGCATAATTTTAGAGCAATTTTATAGCAATTACATTAATAATCTCATCACAAATATTTTAAAATTATTTGCATCTTTCTTTCTTGATTATTGAAGTACATATTATACTTAAACATAGAGGAAATTAGAGATTACACGGCAGTGTACATCTTCACTTGATATTATATTATGCATATTTTTCTACTGTCCAATCTATAATATATCCATTACTCTTTCCTTGCCCCAGCCCTGTATAATGAATACAGGTATATATCTTTTTACCTTCCCTATGATTATAAATTGTAAAACAGTGTGCTTCCAGAAATGGTTGATCGCTTGCTTTGTTTCAACCTTCTATTGACAACAAATATAAACTGAATCAGATATATTTAAAATAAGTACTTTCGAAAGAATTACAGAACTATCACACCGGCAAAGATTTTCAGGGCAACAGTTTGAGAGAGAAGGGAAGCTCAGATTTGTGACGCCAACTTGGCACCACCATTTTCCTAGTAAAACATTTGATGACTTATTAGTGAGGAAGAAAGGTAGACAGGATACAGGAGACAATCCAGTTGGGGGGAAACAGAGAATGGGGAAATTATTTGGAAGAAAATTTTATAATAGGTATCAAAATTTGAAATATGCAAACACTTTGAATAAACTTTAAACAAATAATTTCATATTTATAAATCCAAACCCATAGTTCAGAAGTATGAAGAAGGGAAAAAAAAAGGTATGAATAAAGCTGGCCACAAATATGTGCAATATATACACGATGTGTACAAATGTGTACGATATCTTAGAGCTTTTTACAAGAGAAAGAAACTTTCATGAAACTATTATGATCTAAGGGAAAATGTACTGTCATAATGGTATTTTATCTTGATGCATGTATTAATATTTGCTATTTAGGAAAAAATACTAGATATAGTAGATATAAAACAATAATGTGCACATGTACCTCTGTATGTGTACTTGGATGAGAAAGACATTGTACCCACCAGCTGTAAAATGCAGCATGCCACCTGTATGGATGGGGAGAGTGTAGTCAGGGTGGTTAGGGGTAAGGAAGGGCCTTAACTTTTTTATCCTATGCATTTTGGTGTTGCTCAAACCTTTTATAATGAGACATTCATGAACTCCTTGAGCATTAAAGTATATATCTGCAAATAAAATATTGTTCTTGGGAATGGTGTATTTTTCCCTTTTATTTTTTAAATAAGTCTGTGTTCCCATTATTCCCAGCGGAGAAAACTCACTGAGGTCTCAGTAACAGAAAATTATATGTATATTTTGTTTAGCAAGTTTATTTTCATTGTGTAGTCCTGTAGATCATTTAACTAATTGTATTCCCCTCTTATGGTCTATCATCTAAGCCACTTAGATCCATCTTTATGGTCTAGATTTCAGGTGTAAAGTGATTACTAAAACAAATCAGAGAGGCTGGGCGCAGTGGCTCATGCCTGTAATCCCAGCACTTTGGGAGGCCGAGATGGGAGGATCACAAAGTCAGGAGATCGAGACCATCCTGGCTAACACAGTGAAACCCCGTTTCTACTAGAAATACAAAAAATTAGCCAGGTGTGGTGGCAGGTGCCTATAATCCCAGCTACTTGGAAGGCTGAAGCAGGAGAATGGAGTGAACGCAGGAGGCGGAGCTTGCAGTGAGCCAAGATTGCACCACTGCACTCCAGCCTGGGCAACAGATTGAGACACCATCTCAAAAACAAAACAAAACAAAACAAAACAAAACGAAAACAGATCAGACAGAAAAAAATTAGAAATTGTAAGGTAATAAGATATTACATATTATGATCATGGATCATTTGAATACTTAGAAGGCTCTTTAGTTTAATTAGATCCCATTTGTCAATTTTGGCTTTTGTTGCCATTGCTTTTGGTGTTTTACACATGAAGTCCTTGCCCATGCCTATGTCCTGAATGGTAATGCCTAGGTTTTCTTCTAGGGTTTTTATGGTTTTAGGTCTAATGTTTAAGTCTTTAATCCATCTTGAATTAATTTTTGTATAAAGTGTAAGGAAGGGATCCAGTTTCAGCTTTCTACATATGGCTAGGCAGTTTTCCCAGCACCATTTATTAAATAGGGAGTCCTTTCCCCATTGCTTGTTTTTGTCAGGTTTGTCAAAGATCAGATAGTTGTAGATATGCGGCATTATTTCTGAGGGCTCTGTTCTGTTCCATTGATCTATATCTCTGTTTTGGTACCAGTACCATGCTGTTTTGGTTACTGTAGCCTTGTAGTATAGTTTGAAGTCAGGTAGTGTGATGCCTCCAGCTTTGTTCTTTTGGCTTAGGATTGACTTGGCGATGTGGGCTCTTTTTTGGTGCCATATGAACTTTAAAGTAGTTTTTTCCAATTCTGTGAAGAAAGTCATTGGTAGCTTGATGGGGATGGCATTGAACTTATAAATTACCTTGGGCAGTATGGCCATTTTCACGATACTGATTCTTCCTACCCATGAGCATGGAATGTTCTTCCATTTGTTTGTATCCTCTTTTATTTCATTGAGCAGTGGTTTGTAGTTCTCCTTGAAGAGGTCCTTCACATCCCTTGTAAGTTGGATTCCTAGGTATTTTATTGTTTTTGAAGCAATTGTGAATGGGAGTTCACTCATGATTTGGCTCTCTGTTTGTCTGTTGTTGGTGTATAAGAATGCTTGTGATTTTTGTACACTGATTTTGTATCCTGAGACTTTGCTGAAGTTGCTTATCAGCTTAAGGAGATTTTGGGCTGAGACAATGGGGTTTTCTAGATATACAATCATGTCATCTGCAAACAGGGACAATTTGACTTCCTCTTTTCCTAATTGAATACCCTTTATTTCCTTCTCCTGCCTAATTGCCCTGGCCAGAACTTCCAACTCTATGTTGAATAGGAGTGGTGAGAGAGGGCATCCCTGTCTTGTGCCAGTTTTCAAAGGGAATGCTTCCAGTTTTTGCCCATTCAGTATGATATTGGCTGTGGGTTTGTCATAGATAGCTCTTATTATTTTGAGATACGTCCCATCAATACCTAATTTATTGAGCGTTTTTAGCGTGAATGGTTGTTGAATTTTGTCAAAGCCCTTTTCCTCATCTATTGAGATAATCATGTGGTTTTTGTCTTTGGTTCTGTTTATATGCTGGATTACATTTATTGATTTACATATATTGAACCAGACTTGCATCCCAGGGATGAAGCCCACTTGATCATGGTGGATAAGCTTTTTGATGTGCTGCTGGATTCGGTTTGCCAGTATTTTACTGAGGATTTTTGCATCAATGTTCATCAAGGATATTGGTCTAAAATTCTCTTTTTTAGTTGTGTCTCTGCCCGGCTTTGGTATCAGGATGATGCCGGCCTCATAAAATGAGTTAGGGAGGATTCCCTCTTTTTCTATTGATTGGAATAGTTTCAGAAGGAATGGTACCAGTTCCTCCTTGTACCTCTGGCAGAATTCGGCTGTGAATCCATCTGGTCCTGGACTCTTTTTGGTTGGTAAGCTATTGATTATTGCCTCAATTTCAGAGCCTGTTATTGGTCTATTCAGAGATTCAACTTCTTCCTGGTTTAGTCTTGGGAGGATGTATGTGTCGAGGAATTTATCCATTTCTTCTAGATTTTCTAGTTTATTTGCATAGAGGTGTTTGTAATATTCTCTGATGGTAGTTTGTATTTCTGTGGGATCAGTGGTGATATCCCCTTTATCATTTTTTATTGCGTCTGTTTGATTCTTCTCTCTTTTCTTCTTTATTAGTCTTGCTAGCGGTCTATCAATTTTGTTGATCCTTTGAAAAAACCAGCTCCTGGATTCATTAATTTTTTGAAGGGTTTTTTGTGTCTCTATTTCCTTCAGTTCTGCTCTGATTTTAGTTATTTCTTGCCTTCTGCTAGCTTTTGAATGTGTTTGCTCTTGCTTTTCTAGTTCTTTTAATTGTGATGTTAGGGTGTCAATTTTGGATCTTTCCTGCTTTCTCTTGTGGGCATTTAGTGCTATAAATTTCCCTCTCCACACTGCTTTGAATGTGTCCCAGAGATTCTGGTATGTTGTGTCTTTGTTTTCATTGGTTTCAAAGAACATCTTTATTTCTGCCTTCATTTTGTTATGTACCCAGTAGTCATTCAGGAGCAGGTTGTTCAGTTTCCATGTGGTTGAGTGGTTTTGAGTGAGTTTCTTAATCCTGAGTTCTAGTTTGATTGCACTGTGGCCTGAGAGACAGTTTGTTATCATTTCTGTTCTTTCACATTTGCTGAGGAGAGCTTTACTTCCAACTCTGTGGTCAATTTTGGAATAGGTGTGGTGTGGTGCTGAAAAAAATGTATATTCTGTTGATTTGGGGTAGAGAGTTCTGTAGGTGTCTATTAGGTCTGCTTGGTGCAGAGCTGAGTTCAATTCCTGGGTATCCTTGTTAACTTTCTGTCTCATTGATCTGTCTAATGTTGACAGTGGGGTGTTAAAGTCTCCCATTATTATTGTGTGGGAGTCTAAGTCTCTTTGTAGGTCACTCAGGACTTGCTTTATGAATCTGGGTGCTCCTGTATTGGGTGCATATATATTTAGGATAGTTAGCTCTTCTTGTTGAGTTGATCCCTTTACCATTATGTAATGGCCTTCTTTAGCTTCTGCACAGCAAAAAAAACTACCATCAGAGTGAACAGGCAACCTACAAAATGGGAGAAAATTTTCGCAACCTACTCATCTGACAAAGGGCTCATATCTGGAATCTACAATGAACTCAAACAAATTTACAAGAAAAAAACAAACAACCCCATGAAAAAGTGGGCGAAGGACGTGAACAGACACTTCTCAAAAGAAGACATTTATCCAGCCAAAAAACACATGAAAAAATGCTCACCGTCACTGGCCATCAGAGAAATGCAAATCAAAATCACAATGAGATACCATCTCACACCAGTTAGAATGGCAATCATTAAAAAGTCAGGAAACAACAGGTGCTGGAGAGGATGTAGAGAAACAGGAACACTTTTACACTGTTGGTTGGACTGTAAACTAGTTCAACCATTGTGGAAGTCAGTGTTGCGATTCCTCAGGGATCCAGAACTAGAAATACCATTTGACCCAGCCATCCCATTACTGGGTATATACCCAAAGGACTATAAATCATGCTGCTATAAAGACACGTGCACACGTATGTTTATTGCGGCACTATTCACAATAGCAAAGACTTGGAACCAACCCAAATGTCCAACAATGATAGACTGGATTAAGAACATGTGGCACATATACACCATGGAATACTATGCAGCCATAAAAAATGATGAGTTCATGTCCTTTGTAGGAACATAGATGAAATTGGAAATCACCATTCTCAGTAAACTATCGCAAGAACAAAAAACCAAACACCGCATATTCTCACTCATAGGTGGGAATTGAACAATGAGAACACATGGACACAGGAAGGGGAACATCACACTCTGGGGACTGTTGTGGGGTGGGGGGAGGGGGGAGGGATAGCTTTAGGAGTTATACCTAATGGTAAATGACGAGTTAATGGGTGCAGCTCACCAGCATGGCACATGTATACGTATGTAACTAACCTGCACATTGTGCACATGTACCCTAAAACTTAAGTATAATAATAATAAAAAGAAAAAAAGAAAGAAAGCTGACTGTTTTTGGCATGAATAGAATGAATTGACTAATGAAATTGAAGAAAATGTTGACAGTAAGG
Source organism: Homo sapiens (assembly GCF_000001405.40). Classification (NCBI taxonomy): domain Eukaryota; kingdom Metazoa; phylum Chordata; class Mammalia; order Primates; family Hominidae; genus Homo; species Homo sapiens. The sequence goes on from NC_000007.14 coordinate 49,118,811, forward strand.
GAAGCGCCAGTAAGATCCCTGAAGACATAGATATGGTCAAGACAAAGTTGTGGTACTATCCCGGTGTTTTGCATCCCAGAAGGATATGGAACACTTGGAAGGTGTTTGAGTAGAGACTTTGTCTGAGACTCTGGAGGGAGGAGAAGCAAGGCACTGTGCCTCTACTCACTGTCCCCTTCCCTAATGGTTCAGACCATTGTGACTGCACCATGTGAAGCAGGGCCACTCCCTGTGTCCCACTGGAGAGCTCCATGAACGAAAACATTCTCTAACAGGACCTCTGAGCCAAGAACGTGCAGGGGGCTGGGCAGGTCACATAAAGAGAAAAGCGTGACTGAGAAAATTACCTGCCAAACTAACCAAACTTACTTTTTTATGTTTTCATTTACTTTTTACTCTTTTATGATGTCAACATTTAATAACATGAAAGCAAATATTTTTTCTATTTATAATGTAGTCTTTTTTCAAATTTATTCACGTATTTATTTTAAATTGTCAGATATAATTATATGTATCTATTGAGTACAGCATGATATTTTGAAGTATGTAGTTCAAGAGATCTGTCATACAGCATAGTGATTGTAGTTAATAATGATATATTTTATTCTTGAAAAATGTTAACAGACTGGATCTTAAATGTTCTCCCTATAAAAATGATAACTATCTGAGGTAAGGTATATTTTAATTAACTAATTTTGTACAATCTAGGTAACAGAGACCCAGTGAAACTGCAAGTAAGTAAGCACACAGCTGGAGTGTGGCTGAGAAAGCAAGCCTGCTCTCACCAGGCCAGGGAGAGTGGCCGGCAAGGTTGCTCTGGGGTCCCTGAGGTGGTGGCCGATATGACTGTGCCCGAGTCACCCAGGGAAAGGGTTCTGAGCTGTGGGAGAGATGTCGCAAACAGGTCCCCATGCTGGAACACTTGGACTTCAGGCCCAAGAGGATGCACAGCTTCTGTGCTGGCTGTTTTCCTTGCGGAAATGCCTGCAAAGGATTCATGAGCATGCTGCAGGGAGCCTTCCATGAGTTAAGATTTCTCTTCCTTCCCTGACCAGAGTTTGACCACATGGCTCAAAACAACAGGAAATTTGCAAATTTGATGCAGACAGGGACTTGAGTGCTTGAGCTGTGGGACTCACCCTGTGGTGTGCTGCCCTGAGGCCATGTGTGCATCAGCAGCAGCATGAGGGAATACAGACACAGGGAAAAGCCCATCAGATTGGGAGAATTCCTACATGCACACTGGTGTCATTTGCACCACTAACATTTGGCTGGTTTGCTTTGCAGCTGTAGGTAACTTAGGCCCCTTCCCCCACCCTGGAGAGCCACTGGCATGGAGTACTCAGCCCCAATGCCACATGGTGGCATTAGCCCCTTGAGGGTGTGCCCCTAGGGAAGAGTTCAAAATGCATCCCACCCCTATGTGTTCCTGATATGGTTTGGTTTTGTGTCCCTGCCCAAATCTCCTGTCGAATTAGAAGAGGGGGCTGGTGGGACATGATTGGATCATGGGGGCTGCTTTCCCCCTTGCTGTGCTCATGATAGTGAGTCAGTTCTCACATGACCTTATGGTGTAAACGTTGCAGTGTGGCACTTTCCCCTTTGCTCTCTCTCTCTCCTGCCACCATGTGAAGAAAGTCCTTGCTTCCCCTTTGCCTTCCACCATGACGGTAAGTTTCCTCGGGCCTCCCAGTGATGTTTCCTGTTCAGCCTGTGGAACTGTAATTCAATTAAAACTCTTTTCTTCATAAATTACCCAGTCTCAGTTAGTTCTTTAGAGCAATCTGAAAACAGACTAACACAGTTCCTCAGCAACATGCAGAGTCTCTGTCACAGAGATCAGACCGTGGCTTCTCTTCTCCAACTCCCATACCCTCTGCCTCAAGAAATCCATACGTATCGGTCCATAAAGAATCATCCCACCCCCATGAACCCTCAAAAACTGGGTGGTAATGAAGCTGCCCCATTCCACAAAGTGGGTGTGTGCTGTCTCACTTCAGGCCAAATGACAGTTGGGGCTGCCCCTAGTCTACTTCCACAGCCCTCCAACCTGGAGGTCTGGCATTTCAGGGAAGTAGTTCAGACAACAGATTGAAAATGTTTCACCCCTGGAAGCTCCAGTCTGTTTTACTGGAAAGACTTCCCTGAGAACAACATGCAGGAGCTGGCAGGAGGTGAAGCTTTGGTGCTGTTGGGAAAGAAACCACCTTGGCATCAATAGCCACTGAAAGAGCCATAGAGCCTAATGATTGATTGTGGGTTCTAAAGTCCAACAGCCTGCGTTTTAATCTTGGCTCTTTTAATTAATAGTTTGTGACCTTGTTCAACGTTCTTATTGTCTATATGCCTTAGTTTCTTCACTTGTCAGTGGGTTTAATAATAATATCTATCTCATAGAGTTGCAGTGAGGATTCATTGAGTTAATACATGTACAACCTTGTCAATATCTGGTACACGTGGAGCATATAAAGCATATGAACTGTTATCAGAGGTGCTCAGGGATGTGTCCTGGTTTCTGTGTGCCAGCCTGCTTGGTACCCAGCTGCAGCCAGAAAACTGAAGTAGAACTGAAGACAGCTGATAATCTCACCAACTTGGAGACAGGGCTAGACTGGGCATCCAGTCTGGGCATCCAAAATTTCTTGTTTTGTCATAGAGCAGAGCCTTCAATAATTGACTGAGAAAGATATTTGCATCTCAGTTTATAGAGGGACAGCCAGTTACAATATGATGATTGTAAACCTATGAATATGGCATGTGATGCAATCAAGAAAAGAATAAATGTAAACATCTCATCTAATTATTTCCTGGGAGGAAAATAACAAGAATATCAAGTTTGTTTATTCTGTTTTTCCTTCTAAGTTAATTTTGGTAATTGCATACTTTCATCCACATTTTGTTGTCTGCTGTACATTCTCTCCCACCAGGTGGAGATGGCCTCTTGGGTCCTGTCTATAACATAAGGGCATTGTTGCTTTGGGGATGTAGTCATGGCAATGCAGTCACAAAATGGTCCTTTGATATCCAAAAGCATCCTGTGACCCCAATGCTATCAAACCATCCTTCGTGTAAAGGGCTATATACAGTATAGTTACTATCTTAACACTTTACCTGTAAAACTGTTGTTAATTTCAAAACTTCCATAAGATTGTAACCCAGGCGGGATTGGGAGAGTTCAGGGTGATATAAAATTACTCAATAAAATACTAATTGAATCCAACAGCATATTAAAAAGATAATCCACCATGAGCAAGTGAGTTTCATACCAGGGATGCAGGGATGGTTTAACATCCACAAGTCAATAAATGTGATACACCACGTACACAGAATTTTTTTAAAAAATCACACGATTATCTCAATAGATGCAGAGAAAGCATTTGACAAAATCAAGCATTCCTTTATGATTAAAACCCTCAGCAAAACTGGCATAGAAGGGACATACTTTAAGGTAATGTAAGCCATCTATGACAAACTCACAGCCAACCCTATACTGAATGGGGAAAAGTTGAAAGCATTCCCCTGAAAACCAGAAAAGGGTGCCCACTTTCACCATTTCTATTCAACATAGTACTGGAAGTCCTAGACAGAGCAATTGAACAAGAAAAGGAAATAAGGAATATCCAAATTGGTAAAAAGGATGTCAAACTGTCGCTGTTTGCTGGCTATATGATTTTATAGCTAGAAAACCCTAAAGACTCATCCAAAAAGTTCCTAGAACTGGTAAACGAATTCAGCAAAGTTTTAGGATACAAAATCAATGTACACAAATCAGTAGCTGTGCTATACACCAACAGTGACCAAGCTGAGAATCAAATCAATAACTCAACCCCCTTTACAATAGCTGCAAAAAATAAAATAATAAAATACTTAGGATTATACCTAACCCAGGAGGAGAAAGACTTCTACAAGGAAAACTACAAAACACTGCTGAAAGAAATCATAGATGACACAAACAAATAGAAAGACATCCTACGCTCATAGGTGGGTGGAATCAATATTGAGAAAATGACCATATTGCCAAGAGCAATCTACAAATTCAATGCAATTCCCATCAAAATACCACCATCATTCTTCATAGAACTAAAAAAAATCCTAAAATTCATATGGAACCAAAAATGAGTCAGCATAGCCAAAGCAAGACCAGCCGAAAATAACAAATCTGGAGACATCTCATTACCTGACTTCAAACTATATCATAAGGCCATAGTCACCAAAATTGCATGGTACTGGTATGAAAAAAGGCACATAGATCAATCAAACAGAGTAGAGAACCCAGAAATAAAGCCAAATACTTACAGCCAACTGATCTTCAACAAAGCAAATAAAAACATAAAGTAGTGAAGGATGCCCTATCCAACAAATGGTGAAGAGATAATTAGCAAGCCACATGTAGAAGAATAAAACTGGATTCTCATCTCTCACCTTATACAAAATTCAACTCATGAGGGATCAAAAACTTAAATCTAAGACCTGAAACCATAAAGATTCTAGAAGATAACATTAGAGAAACCCTTCTAGATATTGGCTTAGGTAAAGACTTCAAGACCAAGAACCCAAAGACAAATGGAACAAAAACAAAAATGAATGGATGGGACTTAAACTAAAAAGCTTCCACACAGTAAAAGAAATAATCAGCAGAGTAAACACAGAACCCACAGAGTGACGGAAAATCTTCACAATCTATACATCCAACAAAAGACTAATATCCAGAATCTACAAACCACTCAAACAAATCAGCAAGAAAAAAAAAAATCCCACCAAAAAGTGGGCTGAGGGCACGAATAGACAATTCTCAAAAGAAGATATACAAATGACTCAATAAGCATGTGGAAAAATGTTCAACATCACTAATTATCAGGGAAATGCAAATCAAAACCACAATGTCCTACCACCTCACTCCTGCAAGACTGACCATAATCAAAAAATCAAAAATGTAAACTAGTACAACCACTATGGAAAACACTGTGGAGATTCCTTAAAGAACTAAAAGTAGATTTACCACTTGATCCTGCAATCCCACTACTAGGTATCTACGCAGAGGAAAAGAAGTCATTCCATGAAAAACATACTTGCACACACATATTTATAGCAGCACAATTACAATTGCAAAAATATGGAACCTGCTCAAATGCCCATCAATGAACAAGTGGATAAAGAAAATGTGATATATACGTGTGTGTGTGTGTGTATATATATATACCATATATATACATGTCATATATATATATATATATATATATATACACATATATATACTACTCAGCCATAAAAAAGAGAAATAATGGCATTTGCAGCAACCTGGATGTGGATGGAATTGGAGGCTATTATTGTAAGTGAAGCAACTCAGGATTGGAAAACCGAACACCACATGTTCTTACTCATAATTGGGAGTTATGTTACGAGGACACGAAAAGCATAAGAATTATACAATGGACTTTGGGGACTGAGGGGAAAATGTGGGAGGGGAGTGAGGCATGAAAGACTACACATTACCTACAGTGTGCACTGCTTGGGTCATGGGTGCATGAAAATCTCAGAAATCACCAATAAAAAACTTATTCACGTAACCAAATACCACCTGTTCCACATAAACCTATTAAAATAAAAAATGAATTTAAAAAAACAGATTGTAACCCAGAAGTAGTACCCAGTTGACCTGACATTTTTTTCTTCAAAGTCAAGATGTTCATAACAAATATTTAAAAAAAAAACAGAGAGAGACTTTTGTGCTCCTACCTAAAAACAATTGCTGAATTGTGTAGAGAGGACAGAGAGTGGAGTATAAGATATGTCATGTTCCTGAACTATGCATCAAGCTCCAACTGTTTCCAGGATGGACCACTGAGCAGAATCACTTGCAGGGCCATTCCTTATATTTTCTCACATTCTCCTCCTTTGACAATCCTACTGAGAACAAAAGCCCAAACAAACAACTGCATTAGCATTTTTCAGCTCAACAGTTTCTAAACTCTAACATTATTGAATCCCATTTCTTGATAATTGTTCCCATCATTAATTCATTTCTATGGTTATCATTTTCCAGAATTAAAGATAACATTATTATGTAAATTTCAGACCCAATTACAATGAGAGCTCTTTTGGACACAGTGCTTGGGGCATCTTATCGGAAGACTAAGGTTCTTGATGAACGGACATATAGCGGGGTTCAGCATCCACATCCTGCCAGGGAGGATGAGAAGACTGTTTAATGAAGAGATTATAAATCACAAGAAAAGTGAAGTTAAAAGAATGAGACATTGCATAAACATCCTATGAATCAGCATATAAAATAATGCCAAGGTATTTATATTCATTAGCAACAATGAGATAATGCTATTGTTCTTTCTGACTTAAGTGTTTAATCATTTATGAGAAGACTTCTATAACAATTTTTTAAATTCTATTATTATTATACTTTAAGTTTTAGGCTACGTGTGCACAATGTGCAGGTTTGTTACATATGTATTATAACAATTTTGTCTATGTTTATGATGTTCTGTATGAGGTGGAAAGGAAGGTACACATGAATAACTTCTAAAAACGATGGACACTTGTTATAGAATTTATGTCCATGAAGGGATTTGGGAAAACCCCTTGCTTGCCTCAAGGAAAAACACTGTTTAATTCATCTCGGACAGATCAACTTTACCAGGCAAGAGTGCTTAAACAGAGGCAGGAGGCTGTAGGAGGAGGGGCAGCCCTTTTCAGCTGTCCAGCAAGCTTGTCTGTTCGGAAATGTTTCTTTTCCCTAACTGTAATCTTCATGCTATTGTCTATCATCTTCATCCCCTGATTTCAGGCCAGTGTTGAACAACTCACTCACCTTCTTCTGAAGCCTCTCAGTACCTGAGCAAGAGTCAGTCTTCACCAAGACTCAAGAAGAAACTCCTCCATGTGGTCCAAATCCGAGGGCAAAAAAAAAAAATCACCACTGCAAACTATGGCCTTGGATAGCCTTCAAGAACTTCCCAGACACCGTGTGTCCACAGTTGCCTTGTCTCCCATCCTCGTTATTTAAAGGAGTCAGGAGCCTGTACTCTCAGGGCTGCCACCTTCCTGAACTCTGTTAAACTCTGCTGAGATCCTTGCAGACAGTAGTCAACTTGCCTTTAATTTAGCACTCAAGATTAAGGTTTGTAAACTTTTCTTAGCAAAATGCTTACTCTTTGGATGAACTTTGTCTTCTAAGAAGAAAATGCACATCTAGTAGGTTAGGGACACCAAGAATTTAGCCTAGGGATCTATGTGGAATTTTAATAACTCTACATTTTGATACATTCTAACGAAATTTGCTTCCATTTTTTATAACTGCTGTCTAAACCAAATATTAATTGGAACTTATGATATTCCTATAAACCATTTTTCTTTCAAGTTTGTATGCATTGACTATAATAGTTCTAGAAACAGGCATTTATAAAAAGTGGCTCTGTCATCAAAAGGGTTGCAAAAGTTTGCATGCTATCAGTTTGTTAGGAAAGTCACAATGCCTATTAGTATATTAAAGACATTAATACATTTTGCAGAAGAAAAACACGTTTAACTCATTGAAACCAACATTGTTAAAATTTATTTTTGTGATGGATTACCCAGTAATCCATTAACTATTAGGCCAAGAATAGTATTCTAAGACCTACTTAGGAAGCAAATTTCCAGATCACTTCTTGAGCTTACTATTTTGACTTCTCTCATTCCAAGGCAAACTCTGATTCCTAAACAGGTTAAGACTTTTCTACATCCACTTGCCTATATCCTTCACCTCTATATTTCTTCTTATCTGTCTACTCTCTGAGGTTAACCTGCACATATGTATTTCTCATAATGCCATCACATCTGCGGCATGTTTAGGACTTCCTCATCGATGTCTAACTTGGGTACCATCCTAGCATGGCACCCTCTCGACAGTGAAGATACCCTATGCCTGTGATGCTCAGTATTCCCAGTCCTGAACACAGAGCTTCTGTTATGTTTTCTTTTGTTAATTCTGATTAGCACCCTCTCTCTATTTCAGAGTAATGAGAGGTTCAGAGCTTCTTATTTTGGTAGTTAAATGACCTTATATCCAGATTCCCTCTACAAAGTTAAGAGAATAAATGAATGAGACTCATTTCTTAACACTTTCTTTCCTTCAGATTACATAAATCTAGTTTTGTACTGTGGTATAGCCACTTCCTTTCTACCTTCCCAACCAGAGTAAATTTATTTCTAACTTTGTCTTCAAGTCTTTTGGATGTTATAAATGATAATAAGTAGTTCATTTTGGCCAGGCACGGTGGCTCACGCCTGCAATCCCAGCACTTTGGGAGGCCGAGGTGGGCAGATCAAGAGGTCAGGAGATCGAAACCATCCTGGCTAACCCGGTGAAACCCTGTCTCTACTAAAAATACAAAAAATTAGCTGGACGTGGTGGGGGGCACCTGTAGTCCTAGCTACTCGGGAGGCTGAGGCAGGAGAATGATGTGAACCTGGGAGGCAGAGCTTGCAGTGAGCTGAGATCGTGCCACTGCACTCCAGCCTGGGTGACAGAGTGAGACTCCATCTCAAAAAAAAAAAAAAAGTAGTTTATTTCAATCTTACAGTATTAATAAAATACAGATGATTTGTCATGGCAATAGAAAAATAAATACCTTTTTTTCCTTTCCAAATGTTTATGTAGTTCCATCTGGTCCACGTGGTTTCAAAAGCATGTCTTAACAAATATGCATCACCTTTATAGAAAGAGCTTACCAGAAGTTAGGCAAAAAGTAAACAAACACACAGCAAAGCAACAGAACTTTCCAATGACTTCGAAAGAAGGAAAGAAAGCAAATAACGACAACTTTGGTGATTCATCATCTTGTTTATGGAATATCCAGGCAGTTTTTAAGGGGAACATTCCACTCCGTTTATGATTGTATAAATTATGGTTGAAGGCAGTTTTTGTTTCTCTCAGTTGCTGCAGCTGTGTGGGACTATGTTGAGAGAAATTTGATATAGTATTGACATTATTTTATGAAAGCTGTGTCAGGTTTTATTTGTGCAAATCATAGCTGAGAGACCCAAGTGACTATCACTTATTACTGAGAACAGCAAAGGAGATAAACAGATGGAGACGAAATAGACTAAACTTGGGCCACAAACTAAAGGAGAAAGAAAAAAAGTTATGCTTATTTATGTCATGTAAAAATAATGCTTAGTGAGTAGTTCATTCTCTAATCGCCCTTATCAAATGTGGCAGAAGACTAGTTAGTAAGAATTAATAAGCTCCTCAAACTAGACTTTATGGAAACATATGCAGAACAATCTTTAGTGTGTCTTATTTCTTTTTAGTTTTATATTTTTAAAAGCAGGTTGCTTTTCTTTTTGTTTTAAACTGATGTAGCTACTATAGGACTTACTCGTATACTCTAGAAGGGGCAAATCAGAATATTTTAGAAATACGATAATTAGCAATTCTGGGCATAGTTGGTTTATTCCAAAAGTACAGATACTCACATCACATCTTCAATAAAAATGTTTAAAGGTGCCCTATTACTAACGGTGCAAAGCCTCTCTCTTTCCAAAGTATTCAAGGCGATTTGAAGTCTGACCTCAAACCTGATCCCATGCTATTTCTTCAACTAAATCACAGCTCTTTCCCCTCACTCCATTCTTTCTAAGACATCCCCACTTCCAGTCTCACCTGACTAATTTCCATTACTAAGAGAAACTTGCCCTTCTCAGCGTGGATGTCTTGTGTAATTACGGCTGAGGACAGAGTGGCTCTTTGTCTGCCGTGTACTTTCTTGCAAAATCTTACCTATCCTTCTCATGGGGCTAGAAAAACTTTTCGAAATTCTCTCCCTGTCGCTGTTGTTATCATCATCTTCATAATCAGTCACTATTATCATCATCAACCACAAAAACAGGATTAAAAGAGGTTTCATTTTCATCATACTCATATTTCTACTCCAAACCATGAAGTTTTCCTGAGTATTGACATTTAAGAAGTTTACATAATCCCTTTAAGAAAAATAACAAAAAAATTACACATAAAATAATCTTAGGTATAAAAAACAAATATAAATTCAGAATGAGAAAAAATACCATAATAAACTAAAACTTTTTTAACCTGACAAAAACTAAAAACATTACAAAATCTGAAAATATTTTATAATATTTGAAACCTTGTTTTAGTATTCTTCTTTTGGGTTGCGTACACTTCGATAGTTTTTTCATATGCAATTATTTTGGAATATAGTTCTTTGTAGGGTAGACTTTAAAAAATCAGTCTTCCTCTAGAATAGTTGTTCAAAAATATTATTTTTTATTGATAACTTGAATTTTTTTCCAGCCACACAATTTCTTATTGGTAGTTATATAAATTTCAAAGGCTGTGTTAATTTGGGAAAAACCCCAACCAAATCCTGCTTTCAAATCTTGTTTTCTTTCCTTTATCCTACATGTGCAGTGCCCTACCCTCACCTGATTCAAAACCAGGTGAATCCACAGAGGGATAGGTGAGTATTCTTGGACCTTATCCCTCTGGAACCCAGCTAGCAAAGACCTAAATATTCAGTATGTAACAGCAAAGCACAAAAACAATAAAACCAGAATACATGCATCCTATTTAAATGTTTCATAGTGGCTCCCCAAATGTCCAAACCTACTGCTACACCAGGAATGTATATATGTATATATATGTACACACAGGTACATACATATTTATATATACACACATATACATATATACACAAATATGTATGTAAATATGTATGTATATATGTATATGCATGTACATATATACATACATATACATATATACATCCTGGTGTTGCAGTAGGTTTGTATATACACATATATACATATATGTGTGTATATGTATACATATATGTATACACACATACATGTATACATGTATATACATATACATCTGTTTATGTATGCATATACACAATATGTGTATGTGTGTGTGTGTGTGTATGTGTATATATATATACTAGTGAACAATTACTGTGGTGCCTCCCAGAGCCTTGAAAGGTTGAAAGGTGCAGGCAAAAGCAGAAGCTCTGAAGCCTAGGCCTCATTGGCAGGGCAGTCTGTCCAGCAATGGAAGGTTTAAACTCCTTACCTACACAGGAACCTGATAGACGGAATGCCTCCTCCCCTGGGCTCCACTGCCCAGAATCCAGAGCCTTCCTGGACCCTCGCTTCTCAGGTGGAAGAAGGCGAGTGACTCAGGTCTGCAGCCATTCTTGGCAATCTCTCCTTCCCACTCTGGTCCCTGTGCAATAAGTGAGTCTCCTTCATTGGTCTGGCCAGCCCTGCTTCCCCGCTAGCAATGTCAGTAAAAGAAAGTAGATACTCAGCCATTCCCTGCCCAATAAGAAAGAAAATATATACCTCGGGGCTCCAGAGTAAACACCATCTAGACTGCCTTATAAAGCCATCTTTATTTTATATTTGCCTATTGATAATTGTGTATGTGTGACTTCCTTTTAACACAGGTCCTTAAAAGAAAAGAAAAAGTGGCAGGTGGTGTAATTTCATTATTAAATGTAATCTGAACCTCCAACAATTTGAGCAGGTTCAACTCTCAGGTGTATGGGACGTGCCAATTTATGTAGAGTCACAGCACTGAGACAGGGGATTTTATCAATCTTTTATTTACCAGCTAGTAACGATTCAGTAACTGGATAGACTATTAGAGAATAACGGTGTATCGAGATTACTAATTAAAATACTGTCTTATTCTACATTGTATTTCCTGCTTCATTAAAGCAGAAGCATTTTTAAACCTGTGAGACATACTTGGGTTTTCTGAATAACAATAACTTAATACTATGATTTTATTGTTCTAATTGCTCCAGAATTTCAAATTTATTTGTATAAAAATTTTCTACTTTGTAAAATCACAACAATTTCATTCAAAATTGACAAGCTGCAAAATTCACCCCTGAGGGGAGAATGTATTAGCTAGTAAAGAAAACTTGTCAATGTCAGTGTTTGAAGCTCCTTAAAAAGAAAAATTGAAGCAAAGTCCAATCTTTGTCATATCCTTTGTAATGATAAAGCAATTTAAAATGTAATGTGCATAAGCCATTATAAAATATTTGATAAAATAAATAGCTCTATTTTTAATAACTCTTGTGATTAATATCAGGGCATAGCACATCCTCAGAAACTTGGAGACATATTTTAAATTTGGTTTGACATTTAAATTGCACACCATTATTTTTACATATAGACAATAAGAAAAACCATATTACTTTGTCAAATGACCTACTTTAATTATGATTTAATTACTAATTATTTAAATTACAATTAGTGTCATTTACTGATTTTAAGGTAACAATTACAGGATAAGAAATTAAGTTTACTGAGTATTACTCTTTTCAAAGAAGTGGCTCATTTCAACACAGTGAGGAAGTCAGCTATGAAAACAAGAAAAGCCAGCTAACACTCCATCATTTAACAACAACGGCTGGTATAAACAAATATGTAACATGCAGATTTGTGCTAGGAAAAATAAGGACAAAAAAAGAAATAAAGGAGGGAAGCTGATTACCCCAAAGACAAGTATTTGATGACAGATCCAGGTTTCAATTTTTAATAATTCAATTTTGCATGCTTTTTACTAGAATATAATATATGGAACAAATATGTTATTGCTATAATTTCTAATATGACAGGGCATTGGTGAGACTAAGGAAGTTCCTGCTATTGAAGGACTACCTTCTAGTCAATGAAATAAATCACTACATTATGAAGCAAAATGCTATAATTTTCTGGGAAAATGCAACAAGTTGAATGACACAGTGGCACAGAGCAGAGTGGTCAGCGGCACTTAAAGAAATCAAGGAAGGCCTCATAGAGGTGGGGATTTGTTAACAGGGCCTTGAAACTTTGGAATTGGGAGAAGACAAGAAGCCAGCACAGGAGGCCTGGGAGATGGGGTAAGAGTCAAAACAGGACAGATGCATTAGCCCAGTGCTGCATTCTTTTCTAGAATAAAAGAAAGAAGGAAAAGTGAATTTGCTGAAGTCCCATGAGAACTGGGTTGAAGGGGCTGAGAAAAGTCAGTGGATGTAGCAAAGACAGATGAAAGAACGAGACACTGGATAGATGGCATTTTAAAGAGAACCTCATTTTAATCCCATCTAAAATGGCATTTGTTTCCTATTTATTCTTAGCTAAAAACCAAGTGTTCAATGTTGGGATGTTCAACCACTACGATACTCAATGCTGGGCTCACAGGGAATTGTTCTTTCTTCTGTCTCTTGTGGGAATTTATTATTAGCATTATTATTTCCCCCTAAAAATGTTATTCCCATGCAAGTGAGTTTAAGGCATTAACCTTTCAAATTGATGATCTGTTTTTGTTTGTTCTTTATCCACTATTTAGGAGGAGTCTGGGTGAGCTCACAATCTACTGTACACAGGCAAGGGGATGGGCTCTTCAGCTTTGATCAGGGCAGCAGCCTGGAGGACTGAGGGGACCCAGAACCTTCCCATCAAGCTATAGCAAAGGACAGCCTATGTTCTATGGGACCTGAAACACATCCTGAGAGTTTGATGCCTGCTTCATATTTGTGGTTACACAGTTGAAATTTCATCCTATAGTTTATCTATTGTTTATATATATATAATCAGATCTAATATGAAGTGTTTGATGTTGTACCTGCTAACATTTCTGATGTTCTGCAGTTTTTTACTGCTTGTAATTCCATCTGCCTGAGGAAGAATTCCCCTTAATCCTACTATCTGGTTCACTCAGCATGAAGAATCTAGTTTATTACTGCATAACTTAAAGTACTATTAAGTGGTAAGTAATTTCACCTCTTGAAAAACAGTGGGTTAGGCACACATAAACAATTGCACACACACACACACACACACACCCCTTGTAAACACAAATCACACAATCTATTTTATCCTTCCAGGCTCTGTGATTTCATCTTCATTTCACCCAGGAATTCAGGAACTTTTACCTAGGTTCAGCAGCAGACTCATTACTTTTCTGGAAACCAGAGTAGCTGAACCAGTGCTGAAGGAGGACTATCTACAGACGTAATACGCTGGGGTGGGTACATGGCCCAAACTCCTGGGAGAGCACTGCTTACTTCTATCTTTGCTGAGTGAGTTCCACTTTTTGGTTAAGGGCACCACTGAGTCTTGGTTGGTAAAAATTTCTCCAGTTGTTTGTCAGCTGTGCCACTAAAACTTTGCTCTTCTTTTTTATAGTAGTGCATATTTCTACAGTTGAAAAGATGTGGGGATGAATCATGTTCATAACTTTATGTCCATTACCTTGAATTTCTTGACTAATGCAAACATGTAGCAATCAATTAAAAGGTTTTTGTCATTGAAATAGGAACTTTAGTCCCCTTTTCCTACTTGATAAGCACCGAATATTTGCTTATCTGCTGTCTCCTTTAGGTGTGGTATATTATTACTACAGCACATTAATATTCTGGCAGGATGGCACTCTGAAACAAAATAGACAGTTAGGGATATTTCCATTGGTGGAATCCGCTCCCAGTGGTACCATGGAGTCAGTCCCTCTTAACCTTGAAGCAGGAACGCATGTGATTTTCTACTTCTATACTCAACAATGACATCACATTTCTCCAAATCAAACTCTAGTCAACCCCAGGATTTGTTCAAAAAGTTTATGAGTACTTCTTTTCCAAGTAAATTGATATATTTTAAAAAATCAAACACATTTTTATTCCTTCACCTGTGCTTTTTTATAACTAAATTGCCCTCAGCATTCTCTGAGAACACAAAAATCTAGTGAGAGAGAAACATACGGCAAGTAGCAAGACTGAGAGAGGCTGTAGTTTCAGAATATTCGGGGAAAAGTAGGGGAGAATGATGTCTTTCCAAATATGACGAGGTAACTTTTTAAACTATCAGCAAAAAGTGCCTTTTCTACTGTTTTTTGATTGTTATCATTTATAGAGGCTTACTTTTCTCTATTATTTGGTAACTGTGGACACTATTAACTTAGCAATCTTAAAATAACACACTACAAGGTGACAGGTATAAACTGAGAGAACAAAGTAAAATTTTCTATTTAGAGAAGGATTCTTAAAAATACTTTCAGTGTGGTGGCTATTCTTATGCATTTATCATAGACTTTCAAGAGCCATCAGGATGGCAAAGACCAAACCACCTTTCAGGGAATGTCTGGAGGAGTTCATATCTAAGCTGGCCAGAGGGTCATGGAATCTGTATGGCCTAAGAGCAACAGCTTGCTTACCTGTAGCAAACAGAGCAAGTGGCTTCCTTCCTTTCTCCTTCCCTCCTTCTCTTCTTTCCTTCCTTTTCCCTTGTGTTTTTTTCTGTTGGCTTCTTCAGTTAAATTCTATCTTCAAATCCTAGGAATACACTTGACTGATATACATAACCACACAGCTTTCATTAAAATCATAAAGGAAGGGCCAGGCGCAGTGGCTCACACCTGTAATCCCAGCACTTTGGGAGGCCCAGGTGGGTGGATCACGATGTCAAGAGATGGAGACCATCCTGGCCAACATGGTGAAACCCCGTCTCTACTAAAAATACAAAAATTAGCTGGGCATGGTGGCATGTGCCTGTAGTCCCAGCTACTTGGGAGGCTGAGGCAGGAGAATCACTTGAATCCGGCAGGTGGAGGTTGCAATGAGCCGAGATTGCACCACTGCACTCCAGCCTGGGCAACAGAGCGAGAGTCCGTCTCAAAAAAAAAAAAAAAAATTTCATAAAGGAGGGAAGAATGATGGATACACTCCTTCCATGAGAAATAATGTAAAAGAAAGGAGCCCACAGTAACTTTTATTTACTAACATCTAAGAAAGAATATATGTAGACAGGGACCACCATCATCATACACTTTGGGTAAATCTTCCAAGCATGCTATTCATCCTAACCCCTGTTGTTTCTGCATGGTACTTAGCAGTAATGCAAAGGGCTTCAAGTTCAAATGTAAGTTTGATAAGAAGAAGAACCTCCACACCTTCATGGGAAGAGTGGGACATGGCCACACTAAAAGACAAGAAGGAGGCTAAACTGTTGAGGTCTCCATCCGGAAATTAACATTGGAGAGAATATGAGCATTCGTGTGACTGAGAATATCCAAGAGAAAGACCAGAGGGAAATTCTCACCCTTCACTTTGTATGGGTGAGAAATCTGAGGATCTAGGAGGGAGAAATCATGTTCCATAGCACACTGATGAGAGCAGGCTTCACAGAACTTGAGTGTGGGTCTGATACCCCATTGCATAGCACTTTTTTTTTCTTTTTTTTTTTTCTTGAGATGAAGTATCACTCTGTTGCACAGGCTGGAGTACAGTGGCGTGATCCTGGCTCACTGAAACCTCTGCCTTCCCGGTTGAAGCAATTCTCCAGTCTCAGCCTCCCTAATAACTGGGATTACAGGAGTGCACCATCACACCCAGCTAATTTTTATATTTTTAGTAGAGATGGGGTTTCACCATGTTGACCAGGCTGGCCTCAAACTCCTGACCTCAGATGATCCACCTGCCTCAGACTCCCAAAGTGCTGGGATTACAGGCGTAAGCCACTGTGCCCGGCCTGCACAGCATTTTTTTACTACAACAAATGGTGGAAGACAATCAGTTGAGCTATCCATGTGTGGTTTCCCCATACTTTCCATTCCTCTTTCCCATCAGGCGGTCATTCATATTGTGTTCCTCTGTCTTAGGGAAAGTAAGATTCCATGGCACGAAGGACATCAAACAATTCCTCTCCCTTTGTTTTTATAAAAGCCAAACATAATGAGGAGATTGCATTAGGTTTGTCCAGAGGAAAAAAAAGAGGGCAAAGGACTTTGGGGGACTGTAGGTAACAGCTGAAAACAAAATTGGATGGTGATAGGTGACCTAAATTAAAATGATCAAAGGAAAGGAGACATGAGCCCCCAGTTACTTCTCTGAACTTCTTGGACCCTTCCTGCTTATGTGAGAAAATCCAAGAACTGACCTAATCACATACTGATAATGACTATTTCAAAAAACACTGTAGCCTTTAGCCAATCATCTGCCAGCTTATCTCTGTTAACAAATGGTATTTCTATGTGAGCAGTCTGAGACTGCCTTGCTGTACCTTCTCATTTTGTCTTTTAAAACATGCTTGTAACTGTCCTAACTCAGAGCACCTCTCAAGCTTAGTTTAGTAGAGTGTTTCCTGGGTTGCAATCCTCAAATTTGGTCCAAATAAACTCTTTGTTTATATGCATTCCCCTTTGTTCTTCCTTTTAGATTGATATTCTGGCATACTCAGTAGGAGTCAGCATGGGATTTTTCTTTGAAAGTAATGCTTAAAGCTAGCATGGACCCATTGTGTTCTCCATCTTCAGAAGTCCCACTGGGCACTGTGGGTGAGTCCTCCTGATTTCAGACCTCCCTTCCTTTGCTTGAGGTCTAGATTTTACTTGGGTAGTTTCTCTTTCGACCCTTTCAGAATGAGGGTCTCTGTCTCTGACTTCCCTACTTACGTTAGGAGATAAGGCTATTTTCCCACCAACATTTAGGTTTTGAGTCAGAAGTTTGCTTTCATCCTCAGCTGAGATCTTGTTGTGTTGTGGCATTTCATTTTGGAAACCTGACTTGTTTCACTCATGATGAACCTCTCTTGGATTTTCTTTCCCTAATTTATGAGAGTGGATTCTTCACTCCAAAGACAAAAGGTACTTGCTTCCTCTGGCCCATTAGGGCACTCTCCATAATTAAAGACTTGAGAGCTATGTCAGGACTTTTGTCCATGACATGCAGCAGCCTTACAGTGCTTCCACTCTCAGAGGAACTTCTGTAATTTCTCCCACTCTGCCAGCCAGTGCACATGAAGACTGGACACTTGTGAGCCCTCTATGACCTTCTGGACACTTGTGAGCCTCTGTGGCCCTCTGGGGACACAAGAGTTTCTGAGACATGTCCAAGAGTGGATCTGAATCAGTGGCGACACACTGAGGAGCCACACTCATAAGCGGCACGTTTCCGAGAGCTTGGTTGTGAGTGATTCAGGCCTCTAAATTATGGGTAACAATCATCCAAGTCTTAGGGCTTTCTGAGGAGGCAGCTCCATTTGGAGACACGAGCTGGATTTATTTGTAACATCTACAGAACTTTGTCTTGTAAATATTGGGCAAATGCTCCCTCATAACGAGATCACCACAAATTACAATAGCCATAATAGACGTCCCTTTAAATTCCCATATTAGTTTAATTGCATGCATAATTATAAAACACTGGGTTCAGAATCTGACGAAGTGAATGGGAAACTTATTTCCAATGCTATGCTGATGCTTCCAAGTGAGGGACAGACAAGATTGCCTCCCTCCAAGAAGTTAACAAAAAACTTTCTGAAGCCATTTCTGAACTTAAGAAAACCTCAGAAATTCCTTCTCTCTGTCCCACAACCATTCCTTATCTTATCTGCTTATCTGCCCATGATCCTGATCTTCCTGAACTCTCTTGCCTGACTTATCTTCTCTCTCTCCTCCCTCTCCTCTTCAACTAAACTTTCCCTTCCTGAAAGTAATTCCAAATCCCCTGTCATAGCGGTTCCCTTTGAAACAAAACACATAATGAGGTGAGGGGAGCCAGGTCAGATCTATACAACCTGGACTAGAATTGAACTTAAGAATACTGTCAAGAATTTCTCAAACCCTACAAAAGACCCCTGGGGTTTCTAAAAAAATGATTTGAAATTGTCACAATAAGTGTCATGACAAGAATTTCCCAAGCCCTACAAAAGACGCTTTGGGGTTTGCAAAATAATTTGATTTGAAATTTTCATAATATTGTCATAATAATGTCATTGCATTGTCTGCACTTATGATCCTGGATACTTAAATTTTTATCTGTTAATTCAAATGTTAGTCTCAGAATGAAAGGCTACAGAATGGCTGAAGTGAGCTAATTGGGTTAATCCACTAGAAGATTTTTAAAAAATGCAGAGGAGGATCAGGAATGGGTTTGTCACTTAGGGAATGCATTCCACTGGGCTATACTGCAAATTTTCCATAATAATGTTGACTGGAATAAGATCTGGCAATGTAAACAGAGGCCAGATGAACCCATCCTTGATAATTGTAAATAATTTAAGAAAAGCTTTGAGCAAAATTTTGGTGTGGCCAACACCAGCCTTTAGAATTATCACAATGGCATCCTTTTAAACTCTGCCTTCCTTAATGGGCTAATTAAAAACTTAGCCATTTTAGTAAACTGGCACCATAATAATTGGGTCACAACCGAAATGCATGACCTTGCCTATCTAGCTGACCAACTCTCTAAAGTTCTCCAAAGAAGAGGAAAAACAAGGCTTTAAAGGTCATGAGTGTACAGTTCCAGCAGCTAACATGCCAGAATAAGCCCCCTGAGACAAAGCAAGCAACCCCTAATGACCAGCAGGGCATCTTTTGTTACAGAGAGCCTGATCACTTCAAGAGGGATTGCTGACACTTAAAATGGCAACTCCAGCAAAAGCTGTCTTCCAAGGAAGAATGAGGCTGCTTGAGGATTAAAAGGAGGCTTTTCTATTTCTACTTGGGAAAATAGACATGTTAATAAATGGAGAACAGACCTGGGACCTCACTGATCCCATGCTACTTTCTCTGTTCTCAACCCCACTACCTTAAAACTGTCTCCTTCCTCAGAGTAACAAATACTGTCCAATGGTGGGGGTATGTAGACAACCTAAGATTATCTATCAGTTCCAACTTTTGGAATTTCAACAAGAGATATTAGTTGGTATTCTTTCCGTTTTGCTTGTTCCTTCAGCTCCCATATATCATCTTAGTAGAATTTTTTTTTTTAGAAATTTCCAATGCACACATTTCCTTCTTTCAAAAAAGGGAAATAGTTGTGAACGTGGAACATAATTCAAAGGGATAGAAAACTCAACCTACAGATAATGAAAGCATAGACACTGGAAATATTCCTATACAAATCCAATGAAACATTTCAGAACCAATGGATGATACTGACAACACTACCAGACCATTTGTGGCCACAATCATTCACAAACATTGGAAAAATAATTTCAGCCACTCCTATTAAGGTTGAAGTAAATCCACCTAAACTTTTACCTAAAATAATCTAGTTTTAGGTAAAGAATATAAACCTTTACCTAAAACCAGATACAATTGAAGGAATAACTCCCCTAATGCAAGATTATATAAAAAGGTATGGGCCGGGCGCGGTGGCTCACGCCTGTAATCCCAGCACTTTGGGAGGCCGAGGCGGGTGGATCACGAGGTCAGGAGATCGAGACCACGGTGAAACCCCGTCTCTACTAAAAATACAAAAAATTAGCCGGGCGCAGTGGCGGGTGCCTGTAGTCCCAGCTACTCGGGAGGCTGAGGCAGGAGAATGGTGTGAACCCGGAAGGCGTAGCTTGCAGTGAGCGGAGATCGCGCCACAGCACTCCAGCCTGGGCGACAAAACGAGACTCCGTCTCAAAAAAAAAAAAAAAAGGTACGTAATTATCTTTTTCTATTAATGCCTGAAACAGTATAATTCTTCAATTTAGAAAACCGAATAAAAAGGGTGGACATTTTGTTCAATATTTGAGGGCAACAAATAATATTATAATTTCAAGACATCCTATGGTTATGTAACTCCCATACCCTCTTATCAATAATACCCACCAAGCTGGGCGCAGTGGCTCATGCCTGTAATCCTGGCACTTTGGGAGGCCGAGACGGATGGATTGCCTGAGCTCAGGAGTTTGAGACCAGCCTGGGCAACACAGTGAAACCTCGACTCTAGTAATTACAAAAAAAATTAGCCATACTTGGCAGCGTGCGCCTGTAGTCCCAGCTGCTCAGGAGGCTGAGGCAGGAGAATTGCTTGAACCCAGGAGGTGGAGGTTGCGGTGAGCTGAGATCTTGCCACTGCACTCCAGCCTGGGCGACGGAGTGAGACTCCATCTCAATAATAATAATAATAATAATAATAATAATAATAAAACAAAACAATACCCACCAGGAGTCAGATATTTATTGTTTATTTATTTATTTATTTTTATTTTAATTTTTTCCTATGCAGTGCTTTCTTAGTATTCTAGTGGATACAGACAGGCAATACCTGTTTGCTTTCACCAAGCGTGACCACCAGTGTAGCTGGACTCTCCAAGGATATACTTAAAGTCCAGCTAATTTTCCCAAATGTTGAAATCTGACCTAGCTGATCTGGACTTCTGAGGAGTCTCTACTCTGATGCCTACAATATGTAGATAATGTCCATCTCTGTTCCTACAGCTTATTGGTTCTTAGAAATAACAATATAAAAGCAATTGGCCCTAAAGGGAAATAGCTCTTTAAGGAAAACTTCAGTTCTCCTAAAACCAATTAAAACACCTACAACATTTAATTTTCAAAGATAGGTTGCTAATAAATCCAGAAAGAATCAAAAGAATTCTGGCCTTTCCTGAGCCTTCTACCAAAAAACAATTCAGAGGGTTTCTAGGTCTGGCCAGATGTTATTAGAATGAGATAACCAATTTTTATTTACTAGCCCTGCCCCTGTATGCCTTGCTAAAGGGAATCCAACTAGATCCTCTTATGTGGATCCCAGAAGGACTATTAGCAACAGAAAGCATTAAGGGTAGTCTTACGACTGTCTTTAACCCAGGCACCCTAATTACAACCTCCCTATTTTCTTATTTGTACTTGAAGATAACGGAAGTGCTCTGGAGATCCTAACTCGAAAACATAGGGACAGTAATAGACCTATAAGATGCTATAGGTTTCTACAGACAATACGTGCAGTAGCAAGAGTTTACTATTCTGCATGAGGGCAATTTCAGCTACTATCATGCTCCCCAAAGCAATAGAAGAAATTATTATGGGTTCCTTGGTCACTGTCTATGTGCCCCTGTGTGAAAAATCTGCTAAATTCTCACTAGCCCAGCATTTTTCTGTCAGCAGACTTGCTTCACATGAAGTTCTCCTCTTGTCTCCCCCAAACATTACCATTTCTTGGTACAGCAACCTTAACTCTGCCACCCTGCTGCCATTACCTTCCCATAAAACACCTCACAACTGTGTTGTCTTGACTGAATAAATCCTTATACCCAGACAGGACTTACAAGAGACCCATATCCACAACGCTGACATAATCTGGTTTATAGATGGTTCATAACTTTGGAATGATTCAGGAAAATACTACAAAGGCTATGCTATTGTCTCCTTGGCTGAAATCACAAAAGGCAACCCTTTTCCAGAAACAAAATTAGCTCAGCAAGTAGAATTGATTACCTTAAATACAGCATGTCAATGGGTGGAAAATAAAATTGCAAAGATTACACAGATAGAAGATATGCATCAGTAGTCCCTAATTTTGGGGATGCTCTGGAAGCAATGTGGCTTTTTGACCTCTTCAGGGCAACCCATCAAGAATGGCCAATTGATTACTTTTTAGCAAAAGTTTAATATATTAGAGCAGTTTTGTGCCTTTGGCAGATGGTAGAATAATAATTGGCATAGGACTGATTGTAACAATGTTGTTGCAAAAAAGAAAGTGATAGGTGGTTGAAAATGTGGCTGGTGTTTATCTTACAGGTGGTGACAATTCAATTATCATGAAGAGTAAGGTGGGTTTTTTTTCTTTATTGTAAGTGCTGGTAGAAGGGTTGCAGTAGCCATCTCCCCTTTCTTGAAGCAAGACTTGGCTGTATGTATATATGGAGTCAGCTTGAATCATGGTGTCTTTGTTGTCCAGCGAAAAATATGGTCTTCATAGGTGGTGTTATAACCTTATGGTGTGTCACAGTGAAGTTGGAAACTGTAAAGAAGTCAGAAACAGGGATTGCAATATGATCTGAGTTCCTGCTAAGACCGGTAGTGGGAGAATGGTGGCAAATATGAGAGATTTCCAGTGGAGGCTGCTGCCTGAAAGAGCTGGATCAAAGTATTCTCTTGTCAGGCTAGGGACAATGTAAAAAGGGTGAGAATAGGAAGAAAATAGAGTAGAGACATCTTTATAAGAACATGTCCTTAAGGTACAGATCACTCATACTACTGTTTGTGGTTTAGGAAGGCCTTTAAGCTGTTTTCCGCCCTGGGTGGGCCAGGTGTTCCTCGCCCTCATTCTGGTAAACCCACACCTTCAGCGTGGGCATCATGGCCATCATGAACATGTCACACTGCTGCAGAGATTTTGTTTATGGCCAGTTTTGGGGCCAGTTTATGGCCAGATTTGGGGGCCTGTTTCCAACACTGCCCTGCTATACCTCCTCCTCCTCCACATTCTTATACAAGTTATCTGAGATACAATCTGGGATTTTTCTGACTGAAGCATATAATTTAACCATATTCTCTTGACCAGAACAGATTATTTCTTGAATCAAACTAATAAGATCAATTGACTAATTATATGTGGAATAAGTTGCTGAAATGTGAATCTCAGATGTGCATTAGAGGACAAGTCTTAATGCTGCAGCAATATGCATTCTTTTTTTTTTTTTTTGAGATGGAGTTTCACTCTGTCACCTAGGCTAGAGTGCAGTGATCCAGTCTTGCCTCACTGCAACCCCCCCAATGAATACTACTCAGCCATAGAAAAAATGAGGCAGTGCTCACGCCTCTAATCCCAGCACTTTGGGAGGCTGAGGGGGGTGGAACATGATGTCAGGAGTTCAAGACCAGCCTGACCAACATGGTGAAACCTGTCTCTATTAACATTTAAGGTTAATATTGTTATGTGTGAATTTGATCCTGTCATTATGATGTTAGCTGGTTATTTTGCTCGTTAGTTGATGCAGTTTCTTCCTAGCATCGATGGTCTTTACAATTTGGCATGTTTTTGCAGTGGCTGGTACCGGTTTTTCCTTTCCATGTTTAGTGCTTCCTTCAGGAGCTCTTTTAGGGCAGGCCTGGTGGTGACAAAATCTCTCAGCATTTGCTTGTCTGTAAAGAATTTTATTTCTCCTTCACTTATAACACTTAGTTTGGCTGGATATGAAATTCTGGGTTGAAAAATCTTTTCTTTAAGAATGTTGAATATTGGCCCCCACTCTCTTCTGGCTTGTAGAGTTTCTGCCAAGAGATCTGCTGTTAGTCTGATGGGCTTCCCTTTGTGGGTAACCCGACCTTTCTCTCTGGCTGCCCTTAACATTTTTTCCTTCATTTCAACTTTGTGTCTTGGAGTTGCTTTTCTCGAGGAGTATCTTTGTGCCGTTCTCTGTATTTCCTGAATTTGAATGTTGGCCCGACTTGCTAGGTTGGGGAAGTTCTCCTGGATAATATCCTGAAGAGTGTTTTCCAGCTTGGTTCCATTCTCCCCGTCACTTTCAGGTACACCAATCAGACGTAAATTCGGTCTTTTCACATAGTCCCATATTTCTTGGAGGCTTTGTTCATTTCTTTTTATTCTTTTTTCTCTAAACTTCTCTTCTCGCTTCATTTCATTCATTTGATCTTCAATCACTGATACATACCCTTTCTTCCAGTTGATCGAGTTGGCTACTAAAGCTTGTGCATTCGTCATGTAGTTCTTGTGCCATGGTTTTCAGCTCCATCAGGTCCTTTAAGGACTTCTTTGCATTGGTTATTCTAGCTAGCCATTCATCTAATCTTTTTTCAAGGTTTTTAACTTCTTTGTGATGTTTTCGAACTTCCTCATTTAGCTCGGAGAAGTTTGATCGTCTGAAGCCTTCTTCTCTCAACTCGTGAAAGTCATTCTCCATCCAGCTTTGTTCCATTGCTGGTGAGGAGCTGCATTTCTTTGGAGGAGGAGAGGCGTTCTGATTTTTAGAATTTTCAGTTTTTCTCTTCTGTTTTTTCCCCATCTTTGTGGTTCAACCTTTGGTCTTTGATGATGGTGACGTACACATGGGGTTTTGGTGTGGATGTCCTTTCTGGATTCCTTCTACTCTACAGTTGTGTTTTATTTTCTTAAATTCTACCCCTTATATTTATTATTTTCCTTCTATGCTTTAGGTTTAATATGTTGCTTCTAACTTTCAGAAATTGATAACAATTTTTCTCTTCCAACATATGTATTTAAGATTACAACCTTCCCTCTATGTACAGTTTCACCTGCAACCTGTAGGTTTGCCTGTGTTCTGTTTGTATTTTCATTCACCTAAGATATAGTCTAATTTCCACTATAACTTTATTTTTGTTCCCTGAGCTATTTGAAAATGTATATAGTGCTTAGTGCTTAGTTTCCAAATATTTTGAGATATCTAAACTTCTTTTTTTTCTGTTTTTTTTTTTTTTTTTTTTTTAGATGGAGTCTTTGCTCTGTCCCTTAAGCTAGAGTGCCGTAGCATGATTTTGGCTCACTGCAACCTCCGCTTCCCAGTTCAAGTGATTCTCCTGCCTTAGCCTCCTGGTAGCTGGGACTATATATGTCTGCCATCATGCCCAGCTAATTTTCATATTTTTAATAGAGATGGGGTTTCACCATGTTGGCCAGGCTGGTCTCGAACTCCTGACCTCAAGTGATCTGCCCAATTGTGAGCTGCCACACCTACCCTAAACTTTTACTATTACTGTTTTTAAAACACCCAAAACCATCAAGAATATCCATAAATCATCAAGTTCAGGGCAAACAACCCAATAAGAAGTTGGAGCAAAACATATAAATAAACATTAATTAAGAAAAATCTCAAATAATTGAGGAATATATGAAGATATTCTCGAAATGACAAATATTCAGATAAAGGAAGACAACAAGATGGCATTATTTTATCAGCAGCATTGCAAACGTTATTAAGGTAGAGAATGCAAATTGTTGCTGATGCTGTGAGGAAAAAGCTTTCCATGGTTTATATTATTTTTAAGTGTTTTTTAAAGTCATAATTTGTGAATCTATTCAGTTTGACACTGGTAAATGAGAAGGCTAGCAATTTTTATTTAATTAGGAGTACACAAATACAGAGCCACTTTCTAATAGATTTTTAATATTTTATTCTTGAAATTATATCCTCTTTCTGTGCATATGAAAACACATATAAATATTAAATTTCTAGTGGATACATTATAGGGACAAATAGTTGGATAGTTCATTGAACTATCCTGGTTTTATCAGAAAATATCAAAAAGAGGTTTTTTATGGATTTCATAAGTTTTCTATGTTACAATTACCCCTTGATTGACTGCAATTGTAAGTTGCATTCAATTGTTAGATGATCTTCATTTCAGAAATATACATTGTGAAAAATCTACATTGCAGAGATGATGAGATAGAGTTAGCATTACCAAATTATTCAGCAAAATATTCTACACATTTACATTACCATCATCTGTGTATCACCAGACCTGTTTTTCCTAAGCACTCAAAAACTTGCTATTAAACTATTTCATTATTATTTTCCTTCTGATTGGACTGACTTGATATCTCACTTATATCCATATTTCTGTAATTTATATAATCATTATTTCATTTTTCTGAAATTTTTATGTCATTTAATTTTAAAAACAAAAAAGTAAATGTTAAAAAGGAGGAAGAATAATTAATATCAAGAGGTGAAGAGATAATATTATATCTGATAATCCTGAAATATTAATGGAACATAAGAAATAATAAAATCATTCTGTTTCATGATATATATAGATTAAATTTCTGAATAATTGCATTTTGTCAGCACCATAAAACACTGTGATAATTAGTCTAAAAACACACTCTACTATATCTTCATGGACCTTGAAACAGAATGATGTTTCATGAATAAAAAAGGCATTATAAGTCATGTTCCAACTTTGTATAGTACAGTAACAGAGATCCCATTTTGGTTAGTTAAAATAACTTACACATATGCACATACTCATATGTATGTATTCATAATGAAATTCCTGGAATTATGTGTGCAATAAGTTCATTTCTGTTTTATTAGATTAGGTTATCTTTTTCTACTACATTTGCTTTTGGATATATTGTAATAATTATGTTTTTATAGAAAATAAAAAATACAAATAAATGATTATTTTAAATGAACTAGCTTTAATATCAGCAACTGTTTTAATCCTTGGAATGTAAACAAAAACAAACATGACTCAGAAACTGTCAGAAAAAGTTTTGCCTGCCAAACAAATACCAAAATCAATTATAAGAACCAACAAAAGCTCGATATACACAAAAATGGAAACTCCTTAAAGCATAAATCTCATAGGGCCTATAAAACAATAATGAAAAAAAACAAAGTAGGTAACTAATGTGATGAATAGAACAATATCTCATATCTCAATATTAACATTGAATGTAAATGGCCTAAATGCTGAACTTAAAAGATACAGAATGGCAGAATGGATTAAAAAAATACCAACCAAGTATCTGCTGTCTTCAAGAGACTCACCTAACACGTAAAGACTCACATAAATTTAAGGTAAAGGGGTTGAAGAAGATATTCCAAACAAACGGAAACCAAAAGCAATCAGGAATAGCTATTCTTATATCAGACAAAACAGACTTTAAAGCAATAACAGCTAAAAAAAAAAAAGACAAAAAAAAGGCATTATATAATGATAAAAGGATTAATCCAACAAGAAGAAAATATCACAATCCTAAATTTATATGCACCTAACACTAGAGCTCCCAGATTTAAAAAACAATTACTACTAGTCCTAAGAAATGAGATAGACAACACAACAATAGTGGGAGACTTCAATAATCCACTGGCAGCACTAGATAGATCATCAAGACAGAAAGTCAACAACAACAACAAAAACAATGGACTCAAACTATACTACAGAACAAATGGACTTAACAGATATTTACAGAACATTCTACCCAACAACTACCAAATATACATTCTTCTCATCAGCATATTAAACATTCCCCAAGATAGACCATATAATGAACCACAAAAGAAGTCCCAATCAACTTAAGAAAATTGAAATCATATCAAGTATCTCATTTGAAATAAAACTGGAAACCAGTTCCAAACGGAACACTCAAAACTAAACTAATACATGGAAATTAATCTGCTTTTGAATGACTTTTGGGTTAACAATGAAATCAAGATGAAAATTTAAAATTCTCCGAGATGAATAATGGTGACAAAAATCATCAGAACCTCTGGGATACAGCAAAAGCAGTGCTAAGAGGAAAGTTCATGGTATTAAATGTCTATATCGAAAAGTCTGAAAGAACACAAATAGACAAACTAAGGTCAAACCTCAAGGAACTAGAGAAACAAGAACAAACCAACCCTAACTCAGCAGAAGAAAAGAAATAACAATGGTCAAAACTAAATAATATTGAGACAAAAAATACATAAAACAAATGATGGTATTTGAAAAGGTAAAATTGATAGACCATTAGTGAGATTGACCAAGAAGAGAGCACACCCAAATAAGCTCAATTAGAAATGAAACTGAAGATATTACAAATGATACCATAGAAATACAAAGGATCATTCAAGGTTACTATGAACACCTTTACACATTCAAACTAAAAAATCTAGAGGAAATGGATAAATTTCTGAAAATATACAATCCTTCTAGTTTAAATCAGGAAGAAATAGAAACCCTGAATAGACCAATAACAAACAGTGAGATTGAATCAGTAATAAAAAAAATGCTAAAATCAAAGCCTAAGACCAGAGGAATTCACAGCTAAATTGTATCAGACGTTCAAAGAAGAATTGGTACCAATCCAAATGAAACTATTTCAAAAGATAGAGAAAGAAGGAATCCTCCCTAAATTATTCTGTGAAACCAGTGTCACTCTAATACCAAAACCAGAAAGGGGATATAATAACAACAACAACAAAACTACAGAACAATATTCCTGATGAACAGAGATGCAAAAATCCTCAATGAAATACTAGCTAACCAAATTCAGTATCATATCATATAGAAAAGATAACACATCATGATTAAGTGGATTTCATGCCAGGAACACAGGGATACTTTCATGTATGCAAGTCAATAAAGGTGATATATTACATTAACAGAATTAAAAACAAAAAGGTATGATCATATAGATGCAGAAAAAATTGATAATAGCCATCATAACTTTATGATAAAAAGCCCTCAACAAAATAAGAGTAAGAGGAACTTATGTCAAAGTAATAAAAGCCAAATCTGACAAACCCATGGCAAGCATCGTAGGGAATGGGGTAAAGTTGAAAGCATTCCCCCCTAAGAATTGGAATAAGACAAGGATACTCATTTTCACCACTTCCGTTCAATACAGTACTGCAAATCTTGGCCAGCGCAATTTTATAAGAGAAATTAATCAAGCAAGAACATCCAGATTGGAAAAGAGAAAGTCAAACTGTCATTGTTTGCCAATGATATGATTGTATACCTAGAAAATCCTAAACACTCGTCCAAAAAGCTCCTAGCTCCAGTGATCAAATTCAGGAAAGCCTCAGGACATAAAATCAATATACACAAATCAGTAGTACAGCTGTACACCAACAATGACCAAGCTGAGAATCAAATCAAGAACTCAATCCCTTTTACAATAGCTGCAAAAATAATCAAAATACCTACGAATATACTTCAGCAAGGAGGTAAAATTTCTCTACACGGAAAACTATAAAACACTGCTAAAAGAAATCATAGATGACACAAACAAATAGAAACACATCCCATGCTCATAGACGGAAATAATGAATATTTTGAAAATGACCGTAGTGCCAAAAGTAATCTAAAGATTCAGGGCAATTCCCATATAAACACCCCTATTATTCCTCATATAACTAGAAAAAAACAATATTAATAAATGAAAATTCATATGGAACCAAAAAGAGCACACATAGCAGCAGCAATACAAAGTAAAAAGAGCAAATCTGGAAGTATCACATTATCCAACTTCAAATTATACTACAAGGCTTTAATTACTAAAGCAGCATGGTACTGGTATAGAAATGGCACATAGATCAATCAAACAGAATAGAGAACCCAGAAATTAAGCCAAATACAGCCAACTGATCTTTGACAAAGCATACAAAAACTTAAATTGGGGAAAGAACATCCCATTCAATAAATGATGCTGGGAAAACTGGCAAGTCAAATGTAGAAGAATGAAACTGGATCCTCTCCTCTCACCTTATATGAAAATCAGCTCAAGATGTATCAAATACTTAAACCTAAGAACTGAAACCATAAAAATTCTACAAGACAATATTGAAAAAATCCTTCTAGACATTCGCTTAGGCAAAGAATTCATGACTGAAACACCAAAAGCAAATGCAATGAAACAAAAATAAACAAATAAGACCTAAGTATACTAAAAT
Source organism: Homo sapiens (assembly GCF_000001405.40). Taxonomy (NCBI): domain Eukaryota; kingdom Metazoa; phylum Chordata; class Mammalia; order Primates; family Hominidae; genus Homo; species Homo sapiens. Next base: position 49,148,964 of record NC_000007.14, read on the forward strand.
ATTCTGCACATCAAAAGAGATAATTAACAGAGCAAATAGACAACCCACAGAACAAAAGAAAACATTCACAAACTATGCATCCAACAAAGGAGTAACATGCAGAATCCACATGGAACTCAAACAAATAAGAAAGAAGGAATCTCATCAAAAAGTAGGCAAATGACATGACTAGACAGTTCTCAAAAGGAGATATAAACAGCCAACAAACATATGAAAAAATGCTCAACAACACTAATTATTAGAAAAATGCAAATTAAAAGCGCAATGGGATTCTACCTTACTCCTGCAAGAATGGCCATAATAAAAAGTCAAAAAACAGATGTTGGCATGGATGTGGTGAAAAGGGAATACTTTTACACTGCTGGTGGAAATGTAAATTAGTACAACCACTACGGAAAACAGCACCAAGTTTCCTTAAAGAAATAAAAGCAGAATGACCATTTGATCCAGCAATCCCACTCCTGGGTATTTACCCAAAGGAAAAGAACTCAGTATATGAAAAAGATGCATGTACGTGCATGTTTACAGCAGCACAGTTTGCAATTGTGAAGATAAGGAACCAACATAAGCGCCCATCAACCAATGAGTGGATAAAGAAAATGTGGTATATATACACCATGGAATACTACTCAGCCATAAAAAGGAACACAATACTGTATTTTGCAGCAACTTGGATGGAGCTGGAGGACAATACTCTAAATGATGTAACTCAAGAATGGAAAACCAAATATTCTATGTTCTCACTTATAAGTGGTAGCTAAGCGATGAAGATGCAAATGCATAGGAACTATATGATGGACTCTGGGGACTAAAAGGGAAAGGTTGGGAGGGGGATGAGAGATAAAAGACTACATATTGGGTAAAGAGTACACTGTTTGGTTGGTGGGTACACTAAAATCTCAGAAATTACCACTAAAGGATTTATTCTTATAACAAAATCCACCTGTACTCCGAAAACTGTTGAAATAAAATGTTTTAAAAAACCATTAGTTCAGTAAGCCTCTTCATTACAGCTTCATTATTTTGCTGTAAGTGTATTTGATATTTTGTCATGAGTGGATTCCAAGTATGTATATAGTATTTACTTTTAAAATAAATACATGTAGATGTTTTGTGAAGTTTTTCAAAGCACTCAAAAGCAACACAGAAGGGGACTTTTAATGGGACAATTCTGTATTCTTTGAGACAATGGAGCCACCAATAAGTGTCTTCGCTGTTTCTATTTCTCTTTCACAGCAGGGAGTCCACAGGGCAAATGTGTTCAGGGCACTCTGGGACCAGGAAACCTTCCAGTTTAACAGCAACTTGGCTCACATTTCTATTCCCCAATATGAAATCAGCCCTTTTCTGGGGTACCTGATGTCACCACTGACAAAATTAGTTTCTCTGCTAGGAGCACAGCCCTGTTACTTTTATTTGGTGTACTGAGAAATAAAATCAATGAACTCTGGAGGAAGGCTGGCAGCCACCAGCACCCAGGCATCTGCTTTAAGGAAATGACTATTCGTAGCCCTTCAGCTTGTTTCAAAGACATGTTCTTTCCAGAAAGCAACCAGCATTGTATCTGTCAGTTTCAAGCAAGAAAACAAGCAGGTTATATATACAATATGAGAATAAAGTAAAACTTTTATCTTCTGCGATAAATATTTATTATTGTTCAACATCTGGCAGGGAGCATCTTGCCTGACATCATTTATTATTTCCATCTGTCTCATCTGAACCTCATCCAGTGACCAGAAATAATCATTTGTGAGGCTTACTTCATTAGAGCGATATCATACCTCTTAATAAAAGAGGTATGTCTCTGAGGGAGGTTTTTAGCAATAAATTGTTGCTCATTCCATATTAGCTCTCTGTCATAATACGAAGATCAAAACAATAATAATGCTCTTTGCTGTCAGCAGGCAGTTTAGCATGAATTCCAAAATATTCTCACTAGATTGGGGAGAAAATGTAACGGCAAGTAGCTTATTAAATCTGAGAATTAACAATCCTCAATATTTATTCATGTTTTAAATAACGGACTCTCCACAGATGTGCTTTAATAAGAAGAATGGCTTCAGCTCTCCAATGCTGAAATCCACTGAAAAAAAAATGAAAAATTAGGTCATACCTTCCCTTTAATCTTAATGTCATCCAGACACACAATCCTGTAATTAAAAAGTAACTGAATAACCTAAGTGCCAGGTGGCCTAATTTTATATCTAAAATATTGTAATCACATTAAACATATATTGAGATTGCCTTATTTAATTCTCAAGCAGGCAAAAAAAAAAAAAAGAAACTTTGCTTTTCATAGAGGAGTTTATTTAGTATGTACTTATTTAAACTCTGCAAACAGTCTCATGCTCCTCCCAGGGAAGAATCCCAAACTAAGCAGTTTGCTTAGTTTGTTGGCAATTGGTGAAGGGAAAGGCAAGTACTATCTTGGCCATTTGTTTTAGAGAAAGTAGTTTAGTCACTAAAGCCTGCAGTCGCCAGACTCTCCCAAAGGAAGAACAAACCATCTCTCAAACATACATCCTACATTGAACTAAAATGTGTAGGATGCAGCTAAGTCAGTGCTGGGTGGCGGGGGTCGGGGCATATTTTATAGCAATACATTCATATAGTGGAAAAGAAGAAAAGTCCAAAATCAGGAAAATGAGCTTCTACTTCAGAAAACTATGAAAGGAAGAGCCAAATAAACACAAAGTGACAGAAGGAAGAATATAATAAAGAGAAAACCATAAATAAAGAAACTCTAGAGAAAAAAATTGACACAAAACGTTTTTAAGATTTTTAATAAGAGCACCAAATCTCTAGTAAGAGTAGCATTAAAAGAAAAAACATGAATTACTAGCAGCAGGCATGAAACAGACTATCATTAGAAACCCTGCAAATATCACAATGATAAGAGAATAGAATGCACAGCTCTACACACAAAGATTTTACAACCAGTGAATGAATTCCTCTAGAAGCACAAACCATCACAATTCACCAAATGTAAGACAAATAATTACCAAGTGTGAAACAAATAAGTAAGTATTAAGGAAACTAAATTCATAATTTTAAAACTTAGGAAAAATAAACTCACGGGCCCACTAGAATTCACTGAAAAATTCAACAAAATATTCAAAGAAGAATTAACAACATTAGTAAACTAAATCCAACAATATAAAAACATACAGCACAATTAAGTGGGATTTTCTCCAGTTATGCAAGTCTGTTTCATCCTTAGGAAATCAATCACTGTAATTCGCCATATTAACCAACTAAAGAAGAAAAAATTATTTACATAAATTGCACAGAAAGCATTTCACAAAATCCATTCATCTGTGTACTAGAAGTAGAGGGAAATGTGTGAAATACTATTTTTAAAAATCTACAAAATCCAAAAGCTACCATCATAATAACAAAAGGTAATGTTTTTCCTCAAAGATCAGCAACAAGGCAATGATATCTACTCTCTGCCCTTATTCAACATAATACTGAAAATTCTAGGCCCTGTAATAAGCCACGAAAAAATAAATCGTTTAGTTTGGAAAAGAAGACATAATGCTCTTGCTCATTGCAGATGATGACCTGATTGTATACACAGAATATTCCAAATAATTAACTACACAAAACCTAGAAGTAACAAGAGAGTACGGTAAGGTCTTGGGATGCACAAACATCACACACAATTTAATTGCATTTCTATTTACTAACAGAGAAGTGGGAACAAAATTTTAAAACCCACATCATTTATAATTGCTCTAACAAAAATTGCACATTTGAGTATACATTTAAGAAAGAATGTCAAGTATTGTATGCTAAAAAATACAAAATGTTGATGAAAGAAGACCTAAATAAGCAGAGACATCATGTGTTTATAAATTAGAAGACACAACATAATAAAGATGTCAATTATCTCTAAATTGATCTACAGGTTTAATGCAATTCTTACCAACATCTCAGCAAGAGTTGTTATGAACAAGCTCATCCTAAATGTAAATGGAAAAAGAAAGCCCTGGAATATCTGAAACAACTTTGAAAAAGAACAGTAAAGTGGGAGAAATCATTATTTCTAAAATAATGAGGCAATGTGGCCCTGACAGAAAGATTGGGGGAATTTATGTTTTTAAGGAGGTAGTATGAGTGAGGATTCTGGAGTGATGGAAATTCCTATTTCCTGATTACAAGAATCTACATAGGTATATATCTAAATGTGAAATTATAAAACACCTAGAAATTTCTGTAAAATGATTCAGCAGGTTAGAATGGATTGATGAAGCAATTAACGTATGTATCAAAATATTGCTATTTGTTAAATTTGGGTGATGGGCATTGGCTTGTATTATTCCTTCTATGTTTTGTACATTTGCAAATTCTCCCTCTGTCTTTTCACACACAAACACACACTCACACAAACACACACACACACACTTTTTTTCTGAATCATTTGAAAGCAAGTTGCAAATATGTTGCCACTTAACTCCTTAATGCTTGTATTTACTTTTTAAATAACACTCTCCTATGTAACCATAGTGCAAAATAAAAATTAAGAAATTAATATTACTATCTAACCCTCAGACCACATTTAAATTTCACCAATTGTCTTAATAGTTTTCTACATTGATTCACAATCCCATCTATAATCATGTTTTATTTAATTGTCATGTCTTCTTAGTGTTTGTCAATTGGAAACAATTTCTCATACTTTTTGTTCTCTGCTCTTCATTACTTTAATATTTCGATAACTACAGGCTATTTCCCCTGTAGAACATTCCTCATTTGGGGTTTGCTTGATGTTTTCTCATATTATATACATTTTGGGCATATCTTTGTAATGATGGTTTGTTCTCGCAACAGCAGGAGAACATGATTTTGGTTTGTTCTGTTATTGGTTATAAGCTTTTCACTTTGTAACCATGATATCTAGGTTTTTCTGAACTAGAAAGCTAACTAATAATTACATTAGAATAGTTAATTAATTCAAATTAAATAGAAGATATTTTGACACTGTATAAATACCTCATTCCACATGAAACTTATTCATTGATTTCAGCACTTGTTGCTGATTCCTCACAGGAATCTAATGTTACTGTTACGGAAGCCATATGATGCTTTTAAATTCTACTATTCCATTTATATTTATTAGTTGAATTCTACCATAAGGTAGAGCTTACCAATCTCCCTTTTCCATTGATTTATATCAGTGTGGACTCTTACATTTCTATTTAACTCAGTGTTAAGTAGAATCGTTAATGTCACAATTTGTTAGGATCATTATTTATTTTGAAATTCAATATTTCCCAGGCTTGGCTAGTGGGAAACTCATCAAGCTACATCCTATGTCTCTTTGAGAGGCCCTGTCACTCTTGGAGCACTTTCTTACACTCTGGCACAAAATGTTCAGGCTCATCTTGTGTTTTCTCTGCCCAGTCCTGATATCAAGGATCCCTAACCCTTTATTACTTGGGTGTTATTACTTCTAGTGCCCCTCAGCAGAAAGAGCTAAAAGATAAATGCATGTATATGCACATACACACACACATCTGTATCTATGTACATATTTATCTTTTATATGAATATTAATCATGAGATTACATCTAGACCCTGGATTATCATCAAGTACCACAGGATTAATTGTAGCCTTGTTCATTTCCCATGTTCTTAACTGCATTCTATAACCTGGCTTTCATTATATTAAATATATTTACTTATGAATGTATTATTTCTGTACATAATCTCTTAGCCACCAGGGCCATTTCCACAGCCCCAAACATGCTGTCCAGATACTGCTACCCTCTAGAGGTGTTGCTCTAATACTCTTTTCTAGACATGACTCCCCCTCCCACACTAGGTAGTTTCGCCAATTGCTTGGACCCATTCAAGTGGGGGATGTTTGAAAATTTTGTATTTAAAAAATATACTTAAAATTGCAAAGCTCATAGGAATTTTCAGAGCATATTGAAACTATTCAATACATTTTGGAGACAAATGTTAATATTTTCCCAGAAAATATTTAATATGCTGTCCCCAAATAGATATTTCATTTACTTCCCAACTTCTGAAGACAATAATTCCACGTTCATTGGGTTTAACATTGATCCTGATTTCTCCATAAATTTATTTTAAAAATCTGTTAGTAGCTAGCTGGCTTTAATTTTATTTCAGAATATAGTTTCTCGAGTACATACTTTGACTATATTTTGTTACCTACCAAAGTCAAGAACAAAGCCTGTGGCTTTCAAATCTTTTATAAGCACCACAAAAATGTTAGTGAAGCTTAGTCCTACTATTCTCCAGCTTGCTTATTTCAATCTAAGTTTACTCATCCAGCTTCTTATTGTAGAATGTTTTATTCCAATAAAAACAAAACAAAACCACATTTTGTTTTATCTTCAAGATTTGTATTTTGGCTTTTGCTTGAATATACTGATTACATTTACAATGCTGATTTAAACTCACATCTGCATACTTAATTTATGTCACTGTTACCTTCAAAGATACTTGAGGGTTTCTTATTTTTGACTCACTAGTTAATTATATGACCAATTGAAAGAAAAATAATATCTTTTTGTGGCCTTTATATTATTCCTGACAAAAACATTTTTTTTTATTCCACATCTTTGGATAATCTTTCTAAGATTATGAAAAGGACAAAAATTAGTTTTCTAAAACTAGCAAATTGTGATTACTTAAGTGTTCTCCTATTTTCTGTAACTTGTGATTGTTTACCTATGGAATTATTAAAGCAATTGTGTAAGCTCAAGTTAGTTCATGCCTCAACTGAATACTTAACTAGTATTTCCTTTCATAGAATTCTCCCTACAAATATAGTAGAAGGAAATTGGTTCTGAAGATAAAAGCTAAACGTAGTGTTTAGCTAATAAGGATGATTAAATGTGTAGCAACTCAATATTCCTCCCATAGACCACCACCAAGTGATGGAATAGATCTTTTGATTAAAATGTTTACAAATAGGTATTTTTGAAGGTTATTTTCATGAATATCTCTAGCAGTAAAAGTCAGTAAATCATTGCAAACCTCTGAGAGTGTTATTTAACTAATTGAATAAATCACCAAGTTTTACAAAGCAATTTTAGACTGTTGGATTTACAATGCATCAGAGTTGATCGCTATTTAAATTTTCCATTATAAGATAAATGTTTATAAACAATTACAAAGACCCAAACTAATACCAATAAAACATAGGGTAGAACAAGAAGAGGTACTTAAGAAAAGAAACTAAATCTCATTTGAAAATACTGTCCAAGATGAGAACACATGGACACAGGGGAATATCACACACCGGGGCCTGTTGTGGGGTGGGGGGAGTGGGGAGGGATAGCATTCGGAGATATACCTAATGCTAAATGACGAGTTAATGGGTGCAGCACACCAACATGGCACATGTATACATATGTAACAAACCTGCAAGTTGTGCACATGTACCCTAAAATTTAAAGTATATAAAAAAAATACTGTCCAAGTTACAGCTTTGGGTCATGTATCATGGCACATCCAAATCTTAGATTTTGCACTCTACTATGTATTTGTTTGCTTTTCTTATTTCCCCTCTAGGTTGTAAGTGATTTCAGTATTTTCAAAAATAATAATGATATATTGGCTTTAGAAACAATATCAGTAATATTAAAATATATTTTATACAAGCAATAAAATATATCAGTTATCATCTGCCAAGATAAGCCACTAACAAGCATTGTTTGTGTATATGTACACATGAATACCTTTTATGTCTTATCCCAAAATAAAGACATAATAAACCATAATTTTGCCTTTGCTATAAGGATGAGTATTATATTTGAGAGACCTGGCTCTAGTGCTGGACTTCCTTGGTTGAAATATCAGTGCTATCCCTTGCTATATATGTGTGACTTTGGGTGTGCTATTTAATATTTCTGTAACTCAGTTTTTTGATCAACAAAAATTGAGAAAATGGAAACATCAACTTCAATAAATTAACCCATATAAACCATTTAGAACAATAACAATTGTATTAGTTCATTTACACACTGCTGTAAAGAACTGCCTAAGACTGGGTAATTTATAAAGGAAAGAGATTTAATTGACTCACAGTTCAGCGTGGCTGGGGAGGCCTAAGGAAACTTACAATCATGGTGGAAGGTGAAGGGGAAGCAAGACACCTTCTTCAGAAAGCGTGAGGAAGGAGAATGAATGCAGGAGAGGCTACCAAACACTTACAAAACCATCAGATATGGTGAGAACTCACTCCCTATCATGAGAACAGCATGGGAAAAATCGCCCCCATGATCCAATTACCTCCACATGGTCTCTCCCCTAACATGTGGAGATTATCGAGATAATCTCCATTTGGAGACGTTTGGGTGAGGACACAAAGGCTAATCATATCAACAATCAACATTACCATTTTTTGAAATATGTATTATTTGAATACATATTATTGAGAAGTATTAATCAATATTAGAGAAATATTTTTGTGTTCCTCACTTAAGTAACAGAGCTTTATAGAAAAAATCTAATTTAGCTGAGAACCATTCCTCCAGTTTCCCCAGTATTAAGTACTGTTATTGAGAGGTGACAACGTGCTAGCAGCCCTCACTCTCTCTAGGTGCCTCCTCAGCCTCGTGTCTGCTCTGGCCATGCTCAAGGAGCCCCTCAGGGCTGTGGGGGTTTGTAAACGCACCATTCAGTGCTCTGTAAAATGGACCAATCAGCTTCTCTGTAAAATGGACCAATCAGCAGGATGTGGGTGGGGCCAGATAAGAGAATAAAATCAGGCCACCAGAGCCAGCAGCAGCCACCTGCTCCAGGTCCCCTTCCGCGTTGTGGAAGGTTTGTTCTTTCACTCTTCACAATAAAGCTTGCTGCTGCTCACTCTTTGGGTTGCACCGCCTTTATGAGCTGTAACACTCATCCCGAAGGTCTGCAGCTTCACTCCTGAAGCCAGCGAGACCATGAACCTACCGGGAGGAATGAACAACTCCAGAGGCGCTGCCTTTAAGAGCTGTAACACTCACTGTGAAGGTCTGTAGCTCCACTCTTGAAGTCAACGAGACCACGAACCCACCAGAGGGAAGAAACTCCGGACACATCTGAACATTTGAAGGAACAAACTCCGGATACACCGTTTTTAAGAGCTGTAACACTCACCGCGACGGTCCGTGGCTTCATCCTTGAAGTCAGCGAGACCAAGAACAACAATTCTGGACACATTATGGCCCTCTGTCATTCTGAATTTTTACCTAGTGACAATATAAACTCTACGGTATACAGGATGTTTTATATATTAATTTTTGAAAACAAGAAATTGTGATTAATTATTGCTTTACTTTCTGTAGTTTGAATAAGTCCTTTAATTTTTATTTTAGACTTGCCTAATGATACAGGACAGGGAATCATGACTCAAAAGTTCACATTTATATTGAGATATTTCATATTTCCTTATGGAAACTTCTTAGAGTTCATAAGTAAAGATTGTAGTCTTATTAATTTATTTGTTCATACATTCACTCAGCAATTCACGTAATCAGTATATATTTGTCAACTTCCATGTACTAAACTCTGCCAAGTGGTTTGGATGGAATAGCAAATAACACAGGTGAAGTTCCCACCCTCTTGGAACTCATTCACCTCCTACGGGATAGATAGGAGAGATAAGATAACTTTTTACATGGTATTTGGAGTACAGGGCACAGGTCATAAGGGTGGGACCATAATATAATAGGATTGGTGTCATTATAAGAAAATAAAGAAAGAAAGAAAATAAAGAAATAAAGAGAGAGAGAGTTATCTCTCTCTCTCTCTTTCTCTCTGTCTCTCTCTCTCTGTCTTGCACCCAGTGGAAAGGCCAAATGAGGGCACATTAAGAAGGTGGCAATCTGCAAGCCAAGACGAGAGCCCTCACAAGGACAAACTCTGCCAACACTTTGATCTTGGGCTTTCAGCCTGTAGAACTGTGGGAAAATACAGTTCTGTTGTTTAAGCCCCCCAGTTTGTAGTACTTCTTACAGCAGCACAAGCAGACAAATTTAGTTGTGTGCATGGGAAGTATGAATTACAAATCACTTTAGCAGTATGACATATAAAATAATTAGTGTCAGAAGGAAACATTTAACATGGAGTCTAATGCCACATCAAATCTTCAGGCAAAACTTTCTAAACTGACAGCCTCACACAGAAAACTTAATAATTTCTTAATGATGTAAATGAGGATTTAGAGCATTTTAATAAATAATTATTGTCTAAAAATGGAGACTCTGCAGCAAACATGGTTCTTATGTGTTTACTCTCCAAAGGTTGGGGGGAAGGGTAGGGAAAGAGTTACAGGGAGAAGAAGGAGAATGAGGAGGAAAGGAGGGGGCAAAGGAGAAGGAGGAGGAGAAAAAGGGAGGGAAAGATAGAGAAAAAGGAGAAAGAGAAGAAGAAAAAGAAGACGGTCAAGAGGAGGAGGAGGAGGGGAAACAGTAATTGGTAGGTAGCCTCATCACTCTCATGCCTTAGTTAAATACTGATTAATCAGTTTCACTCTAAGTCTATTGTTATAATCATTCCCTTGCCTACATCTTCCACTGCTTTGTTTCTTATTTACTTCATAATGTTCACCAGAAAATCTTAATTCTAGTTATATCCTCTTGTCAGTCAATTCTGTTTTAAAGGAATTGCCCCTTATTTTGGCCTGTGATTTCATTTTCCCCATGGTGATAGTATATCCTGAGTAGCTATGGAGTAAGAAAATAAAGATATATTGTGCACACTTGAGGCAAAACGCTTGGCAGGAAACCAGTTGAGAGCTTCCTGGAAGTTCTGTTCTACCCGAGACTGCCAAGACCTAGAGAGTGAAACATAAGCAGCAAAGTTGTCAGCCCCAGTCCACGTCCTGCATTGTTGAGATCCTCACATGACCTTAAGTGCAGCACTCTATTGATTAAACCTCTGATACTGTATAGCTGCAGTCTCTTTAAAACAATAACAATGGTTAAAATATATAAGCTATGGCCGGGCACAGTGGCTGATGCCTCTAATCCCAGCACTTTGGGAGGCCGAGAGGGGCAGATCACCTCGGGTCGGGAGTTTGAGACCACTCTGACCAACCTCGTCTCTCCTAGAAATACAAAATTAGCCGGGCATGGTGGTGCAGTCCCAGCTACTCGGGAGGTTGAGGCAGGAGAATCCCTTGAACCCAGGAGGCGGAGGTTGTGGTGAGCCAAGATCGCGCCATTGCACTCCAGCCTGGGCAACAAGAACGAAGTCCTATCTCAAAAAAAAAAAAAAATAGATATAGATATAGATGCTACAATCTCCTTTGTTGTAACTGATAATTACCATTATCTACCTCCTCCACCACTCATCCTAGTTGCCTTTATCTTTAATGAACATTTCAGTTGGTCTAGATTGCTTTTCTGGTGGGATGACTCAGATCTTCCCTGAGAAAAATACCAAAGCCTTGGTATCTCGCTCTTGTTGGCATTGATTGCTGTAATTGTCTATTTCTGTTATCATCAGAGAACCCCCATTATTTAACAAGTCCCTGATTATAGTCTTGGTCAACTACTTCTATGATCGTATTTTTTCCTGTCTTAGCCTGATAGTCTGACATTTTGAGAAACCTAGAATGATTAGATAGTAGTCATAGCTGAAGCTCAATGGAAATATCACTGGGATTTCTCTCAGTGAATTTAGTGGAAATATTGTATCAGTAGGAAAAAGGAGTGTATTATCCAGGAGACCCTAAGAATGGAAGCTATAATTACACATGTAGAGCATAGGCATTTACAATGGCAATTCCACGTTCCATCCTTAAATTTCTAGACTCAAGTACTGTAGCTATAAAGGACATTTCTCTTACATCAGTACATACTCCACTTCTTGGAATAACAGTGCCTGCCATCAGTCACTGGTGTGTTGCTCCCAGACTGATGAATTAACTAAGTCTTTCATGCCACTGTTCTATGAGACCAAATGCTTTCCAGTGAGATAGTATATGGTAGAACCAGTGGCACCTATGAGCAGATATTACTAGCTAGTAGTTGTCTTTAGGTTATACCTCTGGCTTTGAGGTCCCTAAGACCACCCGCAGACTATGATTCACTAGAATGACTCACAGAACTCAGAAAAAGTTATTATACTCACAATTTTAGTTTATGACATTTGAAGTTTGCAGATTAAAATCAGCAAAGGGGGTTGGAGAAATCCAAGAGAAGCCTGTTGTGAGCATCCACATGTCGATTCCCCAATGAAATTGCAAAAGATATGATTAATTCTCCAAGAGATGATGTCTGACAAGTAGAAAGTGTTACCAGTGAAAGAAGCTCAACTGAGTCTTGGTGTCCAGGATTTTCATTCAGGATTAATTGTGTAAACATTCAGCAGCCCTGTAACTGACCTCAACTATTCAGATCACAGCATCTCAGAACACAAATAGGCATCAACAATAAATCACATTATTAGGATAAACTTATCTAGTCACACTGGTATAGTGTGGCCCAAAGACATAGGCATACAGATACATTATTATTAGGCAGAAAATTTTGAAAGCTCAGAGGTTACCTCCTGGGAGTCACCCAAGGATCTCTCCTGAAGACAGGTCTTTTTCTTCAAATGTGCATGGTTTGAGCAACACAGGCCTGCTGAGTTAACCTTTTCCTGTACAACCTCCTTATGTATGAAATGGATCTCTTAGCCTAATATTGATATTATGTAGTTGATAATATTATTAAGTACGTAATCGCGATATTGGTAAATGGAACAATTGATGCTAGTAGAGGCTCCTAATGTGCCAAAGGACAGAAACCACATGGTCCATACCTAAGACAACATGATTTCAGAGTGGAGTGGGAGAAAACCTGCCCAGAGCTGTTAACTCTGGTCATGACTGAAATAAGAGATGATGCAAGAGGATCTGAGTTAGAGAAGTGAAGTCATAATATATAGAGGACAAAAGGAAGGTGAAGAATCACCTACACAGTCTCCACCAGGTTGCTTCAGCTTTTCTCTGGTTCAAGTATCTGACACCAGCTCTGACTGTCATAAAGAATTGTCAGAGGAGAGGTCAAGAACAAAATTCCAAGCTACTTTTCTATTTGATTCTTCTACAAATTTAAAGGAAGCTTCCTTCCAAGCTGGAGCTGCCATAAAACCTCAGATAACCATGTTGGGGGTTGACTGGGTAGAATGAAACCAAATGTTTTGCTGTTCAGCATATTGATAAGAACCAGAATAGAACTTGCCAGCTATACCTTTAATAAGGTTAAAAATCAGGACTATATATTGTTATGTGCTTTCTGTACTTGAGAATGAATGCAGTTATTTCAAAGAAAGATACATTTTATAGACAGGATTGGAATACATTTCTTCTATATTAACTGAGCCCTGGGAGAATAAAAAGTGAGAATTGCAAACTGCAGAAGAGTAACAAGGGATATTGCAAAATGGGCACAAATAGATGCAAAATAATGACAAAAATGTCAAAGTTATCAGAAATAGCTGATTGGCCTTTTAAATGAAACCAGCAGTAACTAACGGGCCTTCTCATTTATCCTTCTCCAGGTAAGATAGGTTATGCTTCAGAGTTCTGTTGCAGTTTGTAAATCTCTGTCCAGTGCCCTCAGAGGAAACCCAATATATCATAGCTATAAAACACTCAGTTAAACTGCCCAGATGCTACCATGAAAGAGTTTTCAAATTATAAAATACTTATGTCAATACCACATTTTATCTGTACTTTTTATTGTGCAATGAACACAAGGTCTCTGGAGGTTTCCTTCATTGGCTGCTATCCAGCAGTTATTTTCACACAAAACACATGTGCACATTTACTCGTGTGCACACACATACACATACATGGTAGGAATTCCACGAAGAGGTCATTTAGAAGTTTTACACAGTAGTGATAGTATGGGAAGTATGTGTATACCTGCTACAATTCCCTGGATAATTTTCACTGTGTGCTGAATTACTGATTTCATTTTATAAGTTATAATTTATGAAATAAATTCATTTTCTTGCTCTGTGTTCAAACTACTCAATTACTTATTTTGGAGTAATACATATTCTTAAATATGGGTCTAATCCATTGTTTTCAGATCCCTGTCATACCATAATTTGTGGTGTACCTAATTAAAGTTTATATGTTCCTAATTTACCACCACGCGTTCCTGTCTTGGCTCCATCTATAATCAACAATGTACTTTGGCTTCCATCGTAGATATTTTATGGGCCTTTATATCATTTATAGACTCTGAATATTCTTATGCAGCATACAATCACATACAGAGTAAATCCTGAACCCATCATTACCCAACCCTGTCCTACCTTTCTTCAGCCTGTGCCCTGAACTACCTAGTCATAGTGCTCACAACCCACTCTCAGAACAAGAGTGTCTTTGTACAGCTCAGACTGTCATCTTATCTTCATAATGAACTTCGGGTTTCAGGTCATCCATGTTTGCCCCCCTTATTGTTCAGGCAAGTCTATGAGCTCCTCTACTCCTACCACCTTTGCTCATGTTGGTATTCTTATATGGCAATTGGTTGATATTGCCATGACTTACCTTCTTGTATCTTCATAAGTTTATAGACTCCTGAAGTAGAAAAATCACCCCTTGTTCTTTTCAATTAGCACCTTTACAACTTACTGGTCTGTCTAACTCCAGCACTTTATGAGAAGTAACTCTTCATCGGCCTTGGTTCACATCATGACTAAGAGGGCCATAAAGGAAGAGTTTATGATTCTTGTGTCTCAATGATTTCATTGAACAATTCTGTCAAATTTTCAGAAAGGAGGATCAAAATTATGTCTAACAAATTTACTTGTGTGCAGTGCATACACACAAAACAGTTTTAAACCCAGCATCTCACTGCCTCATCAAAATTTCAGTGAGGGTTAATGTAGGGGTTATTATCACAGGTTTTATGACGAAAAAACTGAGATGTGAAGAGGCAAATGAAACATGATATGACCTTTAAGATGCAGTTTGAAGCTAGCTTTGTCCATGTCAGCATCTGGATCCTTAGTGCAGTCAAGAGAAGTTTGGGAAATTACAGTGAGTGGATATTTTATATTTTGTCAGCAATTTTCCAGAGTATTGTATTATGTTATTAACTCACAGTATATGCATCCTTGCTACTCTCTAAATATATGGTTATTAGATTTAGAATATTATTAGCATAAATGCAATCTCAAGTAACATGAAAATTAACATAAGACTCAGAATCAACCAAGAAAACACTGTTTACATGGGCTCAATGGAAACTTTGCCTGTTAGAATAAAGGAACAGTAAAGTGATCAATGTTTCAGAAATAATAAGACAACCACACTGTTTATAGGGAAATAACATTATGCAATGATAGGAAGCAAATTATACTTTGGTAACTGTTAAAAATGTCCCTTACCACTGCTTCTCCAAGGTTCTTGAATTAAATGTGTGACATTTTGGGGCAGCCATTATTATTATTCTATTTTACTATTCTGACCCTCTTGTAGGTCCTTACAAAGACTGATTGTCCAAAGGTAAGAATTTAGAAAGGATATTTTATCTTGTATACCATAGCTCAAAATTATTCCGGTACCCACTGACCTTGTCTAGCACTTTGCAGACTTTTCAGAAATGAGATTTTATTATATTGCACTGCATTATAAACCTGGTTCTCTCTTTCCACTATGGAAGCAATCTAGTGGAATCCTAAGTGGATAAACTATGAAACGGGAAGCAGATTATTTTTGAGAGAATAAATATTATGCCCAAACTGATATTATTTTTATTTGACAAGAGGGAATATAAGCAGCCACATCTGAAAATAAACGAGAATGTCTAGGAATTATTGGAAAGTCATGCTTGATGGAGTTAGTCTCAGAGGTACTCAAAGCAAGAAGTTAGATGCCAAAAAGTAGCATAAAGAGTTAGGAAAAAAATTAAACAATGTTCAGAAATTTCAGAAAAATGGTGTTTAAATGGAGAGATGCATGACATTTTGGAAACTGAGAAAGTGATAATTAATAATATCAAAATTAGGTGTTATTAAATTGAGGGAATTTTTAAACCAACTTTGCAAAAGAAGTTAATGGCTTAGACATATTTTACTGAATTATTCAAATAATGATAAAGAGTCTTGTGGCTAGTGAGAGAGACGCTCACCTCTTGTGGACTCTGAACTTTTAAATAAGTGAATAGAACTTTAATGTTCTTTTAAGGTATCAAAAGACCAAAGAAGGAACAACACCACATGCACAAATTTCTCTAACTTAGAAAAATTGTTCCTTTGTTCTTGACTTTCTTTTTCAACTTCTATGATTTCTAAGGTGATTTCTTGTTTATAGTTAGTTTAAAAGTGTTTTATGCTGTATTATTAACAAAATTAATGCTAAAATTTGTTACTTATTAGTGTTTTATATGTAGTAGACACTATGTGAGGGACTTCAGATGTGTGACTGATACTGTATTCTATCTCCACACAATCATTTTCCAAGAGAAGCATTACCAGGGAAAGATGGTGTGGCACTGCTGAGGATGTGGATTGGTATCACTCATGTTCACTTGCCTGTATATACTGGCCACTAGCTATTTTGGGGATGAGACTTTACTTTCAGTATTTTCTTCAACTGTGAGTCAGACATTGAATTAAACAAATATTTCCATTACAAAAACTATTTAAGTGGTACAATTCAGTTTTTTTTCTTTTTTTGAGATGGAGTCTCTCTCTGTTGCCCAGGCTGGAGGGCAGTGGCATGATCTCAGCTCACCACAACCTCTGCCTCCCAGGTTCAAGTGATTCTCCTGCCTCAACCTCCCAAGTAGCTGTGATTACAAGCATGCACCACCACACCCGGCTAATTTTTGTATTTTTAGTAGAGACGGGGTTTCATCATGTTTGCCAGGCTGGTCTCGAACTCCTTGCCTCAAGTAATCCACTCACCTTGGCCTCCCAAATGCTGGGATTATAGGCATGAGCCACTGTGCCTAGCCTCAGTTTTAATAAATTTATTTTTACAAATAGAAATAAATGTCAACATGTGAGATTTTTAGTTTTTGTATCTGAACTGCTAATACATATTTATTGTCATCCTTACTTTGTATTGGTTATTTTATTAAGCCACATTATTACATTTTTTCCATTATAAGGCATATAAGTCATTTGCAAATGAAAATAATATATATACATATAGATAACCATATGTATATATACATATAAAACAAAATGTGAACTTCACAGTGCTGAAAATAAAAGCTGTTGCTATTTCATCTTACTTTTCTTTGGGTAGTGATTGATGTATATATAAATGAGGCAAAGATGGTATTTGTATATTGGTCCTATGTTGCTTACTTCTTACCAGGAGGCCAATACCTGTTACCTCATAATCCTGCTGGCACCAAGCCTAACTTTTCACATTCAATTGTTTAAAATAAAACCCCAATAAACAGATTTTCAGCCATTTACAGCCCACTCGTTTTGCATACTACACAAAACTTACCAACATCTATTAGCCGTAGATTAGAAAAACCCTAGGTTTGTATAGACCACATGCTGCCTGTCAGAGCTCTCTGCCCCAGAGATTCCTCCTGGGAAGCTAAGTGATACCACCTAGACATGCGAGCCCCCTCTTCAATCCTCATTCTCCTTAGGTATTATCTTGCTCCCTTCTCCTTCTAGGTGGTGGCCCCTGCATGGTTCTCATGCTATGAGGGCCTTCCCTGCATATAAATCTGTCAAAGCATCACCTAAATAAACTTAATTTTGTTCTTCTGCCACCTGGTGGTTATCCCATCCCTTTTTTCTTGATCAGCCCTTGTATCCCTTCCACTAACTACTGTGAAATAAAAATAAGAGACAGGACCAACTATATCTTTGTTACATTTGCTATGTAATAGGCATTGTACTAGGCAATTTTCATTGACTTTATCACTTTATCTTATAAAATTCTTACCCAATGGAGTAAATGTATTATTATTGCTTTACAAATAAAAAAATCAAGACTGAATGAACCAAAATTTCTAACAGGGAAGACACGTAGCTTGGCCAGTGATGAAAAGCAGACTCAGGCTTCACATCTCATTGTTTTCTGATTATAAAACTCAAGCCTATTAAAAATCCAGTACCCTACTGCTAATCTTGAATCCAAAAGTCTTTTTCTGAGGTTCCACATCTGTGCCACATCCTGACTTGCATCAGGCAGCTCATTTTTACCAAATCTCTGTTTCTTTACTTAGAAAACTGGTGCAAAAGCAAACCTATCCTAGCTTTTCAAGGCCATGTGAGATAATGCATAGGCAATTGCTTTATTGTCTGTAAAGAGTATATGCATAGGAAAACATTTTTTCCTTCTAATTTTTAAATTAAACCGGATAGTGAATCCATACATTACGGACATCATTATACAGACATAAAATAACATGAATGCCAATGTAAAACATCAATATATGATTTACTTGTTTCCAAAGTGATACTAAGGACTTAAATGCTAAAAATTCATTATTTTGGATCCATTGTCAAAATGTGTACTGAATAGATATCTGAAGAGAAAGAAGAATAGTGTTTGTGTGGGGGGCAGAAACAAATCACTTGTTAGCAGTCTGAAACAAAAGGGTACATTTTCCAAATATAATTGAAATCATACATTTAAATTATTTTTTCTTAATAGAAAAAAATAGTAATATACAAGAGTCTAACACTTTCACTATTTTAAAAGTATTTTTATTTTATTGGTGCCTGCTGTGGTTCGGATATAATTTGTCCCCACCAAAACTTGTGCCAGTGGGACCTAGTGAAGTGTCTGGGTCCTGAGAGCAGGTCACTCATGAATAGGCAAATGCCCTCTCTCAGGAGTGAGTGTGTGCGGAATGGGTATGGTCCCTCAAGAGGAGGTTATTAAAGATTCTGGCTTCCTTGGTTTCTCCCTCTTGGCTCCCTCCCTCCTCACGTGATCTCTTGGCACACATTGGCTCCGCTTCAGTTTTCAGTTCTCTGCCATGAGTGGAAGCAGCCTAAGGCCCTCACCAGAACCCTAGTAGATGACAGCTCCATGCCCATGAACTTCCAGCCAGCAGAACCAATTAGATAAATAAATCCCTTTTCTTTATAAATTACCCAGCCTCAAGTATTCTCTTAGAGCAACAACAAAAAAATGGGCTAAGATAGTAGCCTATACCTAGCAGCACAGGTTAAGAAAGATGATAAATGCTTTTAACTAAAAATAAATAAATAAATACGTATTATATTATATATATTATATATATATATTATTTGTAAAACTAAAGTGTTTCAAATACGAATATTCTCTATTTTTTTCCAGTCTGGTTTTATTATCCATTTTATGCAGAAGTGAGAGGAAGTAGATGAAAACTAGATTTCCAGCTGCTGCTGCAGTTACAAGTCCTTATTCCACCAGACGCATGATTAGGTAATTTATGAAATAAGGAAAGAGGAAGTCATAGTTTTTTTAAATAGTGAATTTTAGACAAATTTCTTTTAAAAATCATGGAAACCATAAAATTTAACATAGTTTTCTATAGAGGGGTAAAAAGGTACATCTACATCAAAACTTTAAAGTGTGAAATGTACACACATGTGCATGCATGCGTGAGCATGTGTATTTGTGTGTGTATTAAGAATACTTATATTTTAAGAAAGGTCTTCAAAGTAATATTAAGTTATTAATTTGCCTCCCAGTGGAAATTCTGTTAGAATACTGAAAACTCACACAGAACAAGTTGTAACTATTGAACTCATTGACCTGTCTTTATTTAGACTGGAAATAAAATGCAAAGTATTCTCTTATGAAGCTATTGGCTTAAAGTACTATCTTGTGTATTGCATGACCGCATAGGGAAATATATCTGATGTGGACTCTTGATTTAGAGTCCATCACTCAAATTTTGATTTAGAACCCTATTGGAATTTTGTTCCCAATAAAATTTATAAAATAACTTTATAAATATAACAAATGCCATACCACAGTGGCATGACACTCCTGAGGGTTTCCACATCCCTAAAGAAGTGACTCCACATGGACATTGCATGGAAAGGGTGGGATTCTGGTAGGTGACCATGTAATGGCCGCTTTTTTCCGGCACCTCCTGACAGACCCTGGCTTCCATGGCACAAAGCTGGTTTTCCTCCTACCACCACCTACCTCTTTCAGTCTGCTTTATGGGAAACTGTTCTGCTGGATGCCTCTTAAATGTTAGTGTTTTCTTACTCTTTAGCCTCACATTTGTACTCAATTTACATATTCTCCTGGACAACTTCCCTAATTCTACAACAGCCATCTGTATGTTAACGATTTCCAAATTTTCTCCTACCTACTGCCCTTTCCTGAACTACAATTAAACCATCCGTCTTCCACTTCTTGTATTCTAGTGTTAGTACCGTCATGTGCTGCATAATGACCAACATTTCAGTCAATATGGGACCTCATATATGATAATGATCTCCGAAGATTATGATCCTGTATTTTTACTGTACGTTTTCTATGTTTAGACCCACAAAACCTTAGCATTGTGTTCCAATTGCCTATGTAGTCGTGATAGTAACATGCAATCCTAGGAGCAATAGGCTAAACCACGTAGCCTAGGTGTGTAATAGACTATAAACTATCTGGGTTTGTGTAAGTACACTCTGTGATGTTACCACAACAAAACTGCCTAATGATACATTTCTCATCAAATATCCCTGCCATTAAGTGAGGTATGATTGTATGTGGGCCCACCAAATAAGGGGTAGGAAAGAAACAGAGAAAGGGATATTATCCCTGGGCAAATTTCATAAGTGCTATCTTTCCACTTCCTTCTAAACTTTGGGCTTCATTTATGCTAGCCTATTTGCAGTTATTTTAATAGTTATGTTCTCTTTTTAGATGTGTGTGCAGTTTACTCTGCCTGGAATATATTTCCTACTTACTTACTTTGTTATTTATGTTCATTCTTCAAATTTCAGTTCAAACATGATCTTCTCTTGGAAAGTTGTTTAAAATCTCATCCACTGTCGTCTCAAGGACATGGAGTGTGTCTCTTTTACAGCCCTTGTACTTTATATGTAACTGTCTGGGTAACTGCATATTTCTGCTGCCCCCCAGTTGTTTGGCTATTTGATACGAGTTACCACATGGTATTTCTATTGGTATCCCAAAGACTATACTAAATTTGCATACGAAAAAGTTATGAGTTATTATTTAAACACAGAAATTAATAGACCATAGAATGAATAAATCAGCAAATATGTGTATCTGCCAGATACGTATTTCCTAGAAAATCACTTCTGCTATTACAGATGTGTAGTTGTGCCTTAGGAAATAATAATTATCTGTGAAAGGTGCTTGAGACATAGAGAATTATTTTTAATCCTACCTTAAAATAACATGGCACACATTTATTAGAATAATGCCTCTGGTTAGTTATGGGGTGCAAATGGAGTAATCACTGGTCAGCAGCATGAAGATCCTTTATCCATATACTAACGATCCATGATTTTCATGGAAGCGATTAATTGCCTTGATGGTAGTTAGTTTGTCAGGGTACTATTTAAGGTTACAGCTGTCATGTAAAGCACACAGTTCTTCCTAATGTATCAAGGGTGATTTCAAAGAATAGATGACACTTGAGGGAGTCTTTGAAAAAATGTTGGAATGAACAGATAACAAGAGGGGGATTTTGGAAAACAGCCTTTGAAACCAACCTGATTGTCCCACAGACAGTTTTTTTTTTTTATAACTGTAGAAATTAAGCCTTATAGTCTTAAAGCCTGAAACTTATATTTGTTTTATCTGCGTTCCTTCCTCAGGAAAAGACCTTCAGGCCTCTCAAAAAAAGTATCAAAGAATGGAAACTCACCAGATCGCCACATCCCATCCAAACAATGAGATCAAGACCCTTCATTCATTATGATTGCTTGCTTCTCCCTCCTTAGTTCCTGTTTCCTTGCACATTGTTACATTTCTTCCCTGTTATATAAACCCCTAGTTTTAGTCTATCAGGAAGATGGATTTAAGACTGAGCTCCCATCTCTTTGGCTGCAGCACCTGATTAAAGCCTACTTCCGTGGCAGTATTCAGCATCTCAGTCATTGGCTTTCTGTGTAGCCAGCAGCAGGACCTAGACCAAACCCCTGGTGTTTCAGTAACACTTTCAAGGAGGGAAAGTAGAACTGATGGTATAGAAATACCTGAAGAGTTAAGGGATGGAGCAGGTCAGGGGTGATATTGCCACAGAAACATAACATGCATGATAGTGAGTGTTGAGACCTTATATTGGCAAGGAGACAGAAACAGAAGCAGGAGACTAAATTTTGAAGTCCATTCGTGGTGCAAGGTGAGGAAGACTTTTTTACTGTCCTTTGCCTACA
Organism: Homo sapiens; assembly: GCF_000001405.40. NCBI lineage: Eukaryota > Metazoa > Chordata > Mammalia > Primates > Hominidae > Homo > Homo sapiens. The sequence continues at coordinate 49,171,269 of NC_000007.14, forward strand.
ATCGACAGTCATTGAGATTTTACTACAAGCTGGAGATAAGGTTAAGACTGTTAAACTATTGCCTCATTTAATCTCCTCGTGAGTCATACAAGGCCCATTTTACTTTTATGCGTGCTTCACAGATGAGAAAACTGAGGTTTGGCCACAAGAAGTAGCTTCCTCTATGTCTAACTGCTAGTATATGTCAGAGTCAGAATTTGAAGCCATTGCTCTTGATTAGGACATTCTACATCTACATTTCCTAGTCTGGCTGATTGATACTCTATTTTCTGGGGTCAGGAGGCACTGTTGTTCAATTTGGACAATTGACTTATATTCATGTTTAGTGAGACTCATATATATCACACACCAAAATCCAGATAGTCACACTGACCCATTCCTTCTTCATCTGCAAGGATTTTTACTTTATTTTCTGTAGAACCAAGTTTTACCTGATCTGTGAGGCCCTCCTTGGGTCCTGCTCTCTCAAGAGGTCTTCTCTGACCACTTGATTATTTTCTTGTTGAGTGTATGGCAGGAACAATGGTCACTAGGCTTAGTGAGTATGGAGTCTTTAAATTCAATTTTTTTGGCCAGAGATATGCTTTGGAGAAAGCCACATATATCTAAATTGCAGACAGAACTGCAGCCAGGTATGTGCTGTGAAGTACACAACCAAGACCACAGTCTCCGGTGTCTATAGGGTTCTCCTGTGTCTTGGACCCACATGACTATTCTCGTTTATTCCTTCCATTGTTACTATTAGCCTCTTAGTTTCTGTTATCATTGATTCTCCTTTCATCATCTTGCCTTCCTAGTTATTCTCAAAATAATAAAATAAACCTATCTGTGTTTAGAATGAATGCTGATGTTTAGTGTGTCAGCTATGCTGATGTTGATGTTGATAAATACATTTTATGTTGTAAGCAGGAATTTTCTTGAACAATATTTCTGTCATCTCAGGCATTTTATTTTGCCCAGTCTGTTCATCAGTAGAAACAGGTATTTATAGCCTGAGCAACATGGTAAAACCCCATCTCTACAAATATATATATATAAAATCCAGGTGTGGTGGCACATGCCTTCACTCCCAGCTACTTCGGGGGCTAAGAGGGTAGGATTGCTTTAGCCTGAGAGGTCGTATATGGTCGTATATCTTAGGAAGCATAAAATAAAAATTTTCCTGGATTAGATATACAATTATATTCATTAACTATGACAACTGAAAGATTCGATTACTAAGCATTTTTCCCTAAGAAGTAAAGTATTTTAATCAATAAGAATGTATCTTCTCTACTCCTAATAAGTTTGTCTTGGAAAGAAATGAAGACAATTATATGAGAATATTCTTTTTGATGTAGTTTCTGTGGAAAGCATTGCTGATATGACATTTATGAACACAAAAGCAGAAGAGTAAAACCATAAGAAGATACATGACACATTAGAAACTGCTTGAAACTGAAATATGTGGCAGAGACTTGACTCTACTTCTCAGTTTTCCTTTGAAGGCAGATTGGAACCTCATGAGAGCCAAGCCTACACTCCTACAACTATGTCTTCTAGACCAGTGACATTCACAGTGAAGAACAACACTGAAAGAAGAAGTGTGCCTCACCATGGGACCAGCGGCTTAGTGAATGAGTCACAGAGAATATGTTCTTCATTGTTTACCATACCTTAATGCATCTGTACAAAAAGGATTATTTTTAAGAATATGGGTATTATAGATACTTAATTTAGCTGTCCACATATTTGGATTAGGGACAGGCAGATGAAAAATATCTGTTTCTTTCTTCTTTCTTTTTTTTTAAAAAATTTCTGAGACAGAGTCTTGCTCTGTCACACAGGCTAGAGTGCAGTGGCATGATCACAGCTCACCGCGGTCTCGACCTCTCAGGCTAAAGCAATCCTACCCCCTTAGCCCCCGAAGTAGCTGGGAGTGAAGGCATGTGCCACCACACCTGGATTTTATATATATATTTGTAGAGATGGGGTTTTACCATGTTGCTCAGGCTATAAATACCTGTTTCTACTGATGAACAGACTGGGCAAAATAAAATGCCTAAAACAAAGTCAACTTTTCCAGGTAAAATATGCTCTGGAGAGACCAAGATGATGTCCTGTTAAGATAAATGGACATTAGTTAGCTTAGGGAATTTTTTTTTCTATGAGGAGCCAACATTAGTGCATAAGATAGGCTTTGCTGGCATGGTGGTGCATGCCTAAAGTTACAGCTACTCAGAAGGCTAAGACGGAAGAATTACTTTGAGCCCAGGAGTTCAAGGCTGTAATGTAATATAATCATGTCTGTAAATAGCTACTGCACTCCAGCCTGGGCAACGTAGTGAGACTCCCATCTCTAAATTCAAAAAAAAAAAAAAAGAAGCAGAAAAAAGAAAGAGCTTTGCTGCTTAGGACTAGATTTTATCACAGTGACCCAGAGAAAGAATTCTAGGAAAACTGTGGTTTTTCTGTAATATATTAGGAGGTTTGTATTTCAAAGTCTTGATTGTACCTTTAATTTACTGAGATGCAGATAAATCTTTCCTGTTCTCATCAATTTGGGATCACCTAGAACAAGCTGTGAACAGTCCTTCATGAAACATTTTATTCTACATGCAGCAGAGCTTTTAGAGTACCCAATGGCTGATGCCACATGCCGTAATACATCCAGGGGAAATACAGGAAGAATTGATTGTTAGGTGGAATCATGTCACCAAACATGACAAGATTGAGAGAAAAGCGTGAATTGGAAGTCTCTTCTCAACAGTTTTGTTGATAATGACCCTGGCTAGTTATTATGGTTTGGGATGACTTAAGGTAAAGAGAGAAAATTACTGATCTGGGAAAGCTTTGAACGTGATATTCCCCTGTTCATATGGGTCAGATTGAACACATTCCTAAAATTGTTCTTCTCTATCCTGGTCTTGCACGGTCAAATACACATTGTGTTAGCAACAATCACTTCTTCTAAGAATTCCAGAAATTTCTCATTGTTCTCTAAAATACTACGTAATTCTTCAGTTTTCAGGACTTACCATGCCAAAGAGAAGAATGTGATGCTGGAAGAGTGATGTTGTTAGGAGAAAATTATTGACATTCAATGAAACTCACTGAATGATGCATGTTTCTAAAGAATCCTTCCTGGACTTATTTGAGACCTATTTTCTCTACAAATCTCCCCTTACATCTTAACCCAGTATCGCAACCATTTACTGAATGTCTGTTGTATTCCTGATACTGTATTTAGTACTTTATAAATATGATCTCATTTTATTTGCTCAATGACTCATAGATGAATCAATGGAGATTGTATATACAGAGCGATGTGGATGAGAGCAACCTTCCTGAACTGAGCTGAGATGATCATGCTTGAGGAGTCATTTGACACCCAAAACAAATGTGGTTCCTGCAACCACTCATTGAGGTGAGGCATCCATCTCCTCAACCACATGCTCTGATGAAACAATCCTATACACATGAGTGGGCTGGGTCCATTTTGTTGTCCCCTTCACAACTCTTATTGAGAGGGTAAACTGAGTGAATGTTCATCTCTTATGCCTCACTATAAACTGTTTAATCTAAACTAGAGACAACTTCATCAGGAAACAGAAATGGTTGACTGCAAGGTCTATGTTTAGCATTCTACATTAGTTATTCAGAAAGAAAACTCATTGATCACATCTCTCTGGGCAAATTGGGATTAGTTTATGATGTTCCCCAAGTCATGAAATTTACCTCTGTGTGAACTGACTGAGGTGCCTCCTGCCCCTAGAGAGGATGGTGTGCTGAGACAGCACGACTGTTCACACAGTGCTCTCAATCTGAGTTTCTGGAAGGCTCTATTCTTCATGTGACTCCACTAAAATATAGATTGGTCCTGAGCCCAAGGATGGCCCAAACTGAAGAGTAAAATGGTAGGTGAGGAGGAGGTTTAGGGTGTTTCTAGCATGGCTTCTGTTCTTAAACATGCCATCCTCTTCTCCTAGGTCATCAAGTCAACTTGTCACATCAGTTCTTACCTAAATAGTTTAAATCTATTATTTTTAGACCTTGTCTTAATTGGAGAGACACAAGAGCTCCAATCACTTCAATCCTAGCTAAGGTTTGAGATTACTAACACACAATCTTCACACATACTCATGGGCCCTATGTAATTTTTATTGTTCTCCATATTTAAATCATAGCTCACATAGGAGGGAAATTCTTAACCACATCTCGTCTCTCTGCCTAACACCCAGGCAATATTAGCCTGCATTCAACTTGTGAAAATCTTTAAACTCTCACTCAGCTTTGGCTTGAGCATATTTCTTCCCCCAGGAGTACCTTTTCCCCACTCCTATGTGTTGATCTAAATCTTACTTTCCCTTCAGTTCTCATTGCAAGTGCCACTTCTTCCAGGTAGACACTCCTGGTGTTCTCAGGTCAAGTAGCTTTCAATGTGGTTTCCTTAGTACATACATCTAGATTCTGAATCTATATCCTGATCACTATTTTTATATATGCAGAATTTATTTTGCACTAGAATTTGTTCCTTGATATCATGAATATGCTTCATCATACTTTTTATCCCCAGTCTGTATTTCAGGATAACTCAGTAAGCTTTGTTTGTTAATTTGTTTTCAATGATTTTATTTCTTTTTATTAAATTTGTTCATAAACATTATCTTAGTCAAAAGAATAATAAGTAAATATAAAAACAAAAACTACTAACCTATTTCTAATGTTTTCTTCTTAGAGCCTTAGGTGCCTTACATGTGTCTCACCCAATCTTCCTATTAGTCACAAAAAAATAGTTTCTAATGACCCCATTTTATAGATGATGAAACTGGGATACTTAAGCAACTCACCCGATATTTTTTATCAAGTAAGTAGTTGAGCAGGGATTTCCAACCAAACACCCACTAACTAATAATTGTTTGAAGCCAGCAGAGCTTACAGAAGATGAATTTTCATATCTTTCTTTGTAAATATACAATTAATTATTGAGACATTAGAAGTGCTAGTGAATCAGTTGACAATTTTCTTCTTACATGAGTATTTTGCAATAAGAAAGAGTATACCACATGCAGTCTATATTCAGATGCCAAGTTTTAGTTGTGCTTTCATCAGATGAATCAATTTTATATCTGTGTCCTGAATTAGCTGCGAATTCTTTGGTCAGTAATTAAATTGCATTTAATCAATTTAGGAGAGGAAAGCCATCTGTCAGGTGTGTGAACCTAATTAGCCACAGTGTTTTGAATGGACCAGCATATAATGGCAGTGATTTTATTATCAAGAGTTACAATTCAAACATACAGAATTTTATTGTTACATTTTATGTGAATCACAACAGCTCATCAAAAGTCTATTCTGTAAAAATCTTCATACTTTGGCTTAATAAAGACTATTTTAAGGGAGATTGCATCTGAATGAAGACATATGTATTGAGGCTAGAATTTACAGAATGCCTCTTGGAAGCTAATGGCCAGTTCATCCAAATATGTTTATATTTGATACATATCTTGGTTATGTCACACACATTTTTTAGCACCCCTATAGTGGGTGCTGTGGTAGACACTACAGGATTCGAGAATGAACAAGACACTGTGACTCCATGCAACATTTTATACTATAGTTGAGGAGGTTATTGTAGGCATAATGCAAAAAAACCTAAAACTTCTTGAATTCAATGTGTCAAACCATGGTCTAATAAATTCTTTGTAAATTGTCACAGCCTGCTTATAAATGGGTATTTTTTATTTCATCTGAAAACACTATAGTTGGTGAGGGCGGAGATTTCCTTATAAGAGGTATAGTCAGCAAGGTTAGTTTCCTAAATGAAATCAACGCCTTCTAAGTAATAGGAAAAATCCATTTAGATGGCACAAAATTAAGAAGTTTATTTTAGTGCCTAAAAGTGTAAAGGTTTACAGAAACCATTAGAAAAGAAGCATGAAGAGAAGGAGTTCTCTAATGGGAATGTTTTTGCTTGTTTGTTTGTTGTTTTTTAATCACTGGAAAGAGGGTAAGTATGGTTCCAGGATTTTCACAGATCTTTTTTAATAGAAAGAAAAAGAATTATGTATACAACTGGCACATAGATTATTACATCTGAAATTTTCAGGCTGAATTTTCTAATTTTAGGCAAATAGACTACTATGGAGATAGGAAACTCTACTCTAAAACCAAAAAAGAAAAAAGACTGGTTTGATATATAAGAACATGTGCAGGGGTGGGAATAAGATGGAGACATAGATGACAAGGTAATAATGCATCGGAAGAATAGGGAACTCTGGCATTCATTATCCTCAAACGCTCATCTATGTACTGCTTTGCCTTCAGGGAAAATTACAAAATCCCATAGATGGCCTATACATTTTTTCATCTGTAGCCCCTGCCTCCTTCCCCAAAGGCTTGCTGCCTCTCAGCAATTCCAAATGTTCCAAATCTAAACAATAATTCGTTTTCATTTGATGGACAACCCACTGCTCATTCATTCATAAGAATTATTAAGATACAGCGGAAAGCTCCTTTGAAAGTCTTTAGCAACTTATCATGAGAGCTGAAAGTATCCCCAAATTTGCTAATATCACAATAATCCAGGTTACTTTCATGTATTATTTATCACAAAGATACAAAGTTTTTAGCGTTTCAAGAGTTACTGCCAGCCTTTGCAGTGCATGATATTCAAATTCATGCCTCAGCAAAAGTACATATTACAAGATGACATATTGGTTCATGAATAGACAAAACTTGGAATACTAAATCTGCAAATGTCAAGGGTCTACTCTATTACAAATGTCAACAACTGAGCATAATTTCAAGTAACTACTTTTCTTGAAACTTAAAGTCAATGCTGATACCTTCCATATTGTGAAGAATAGGCAGTCAACAAGAATGGCACTTGTCTATGTTGATGGTATCCAACTACATCACATTGGAGCTAAAATGTGTGGACCCACTTTGTGAAGTTATGGCTTTCCTTTTCAAAATAAGAATTTCATTAATAAGAAATGTAGCACTTCTAAAATTTTGACCAAAGAAAAAGGTTCTTTCAACAATTACAAATGCAACAGTGGGGAAAAATTTGAGAGACAAAGTGCATAGATTGAGTTAGAGAATGCAGGGAAGAGGATCTTGAGTATTTACAGAAAATAGGGTTGAAGTGACCATGGCTTATTTTTCACTGGTGGATGGCTACTTTGGGCTGAGGTAGCAAAACATATGCATGGATACCATTCTTCACTTTCCCAAATAATTCTGTTACTCCAGGTTCTTTTTTCATCAAAGAAATTGTTAGAATTACATAAGAAAACCTGAGCAAGCACAATGTTGTGTTCAAGTTTTCCATTTTTGCTTCATGATCTCACTTCTGGGGCTTCTGCAGGACCTGTTTCCTACAGCTAACTTGCACACTATGTTCTCAGGGAGCAATAAAGGACTTCAACTGGGCCAATGAGAAGTCATTTATTCCTCAATCAGATGATTAACATAATATATAGTCCAAGTTCTCAAATTCCATAACCCTTCAGCTATACTGTACTTGATTCAATTCTCCTTCTCTGATTTGAAGCATGTGTACACTTGTTGTCACCTATCAGTAAGGTCTTCTACAGCCCCTGTTCCTATTGCTTTCTCAAGAAGGGTCTCTTCTGAAATGAATCCACTAATGCCCTACATCTAAACTCTCCTCTTCTGAGTACATTTTCTGTGGCACTGATCTCCATTTTAGCAACGTCTCTTTGTTTTCAGCTGACCCCTCTTCTATCTTCAAGTTTTCAAGACCTCCACTTTTGAAAGAAGCTTCCCATCCTTTCTTCCCACAATTCTAAGTTAATAAAATAAGAACACCACTAACATGCTTTATCTATCTCACTTAATCCTCACATAACCTCACAAAGTGAGCTTTTATTAGCCCTATTACAAGATGCAGAATTCAAGCCATAAACATCAATCTCTTTCTCTCTCTTCCCTATTTCCTCCCTCCCTCTCTCTCAATTTATCTCCCCTCCTTCCTTTCCTTCCTTCCATCTTACCTTCTTGTTTTGCATTATTTTTGTTGTCATGCACTTTTTCATAGTCTAGAGTCTAAAGTTAGAAGATTTGTTAACTCTACTAACTTTAGTTAGAAGCAGCAAGATAATATTAATGTAAGCAGGGTGAAAAGGGGAAGTTGTTTGGCTTAGAAAGCACAGTGTGTTAAGAAAAAAAGTAATGTTGAGTAGGGCAATAAAAATGAGAAATACAAGTTAAGAATATTTACATTGGTGTTGCAACTTTAGAATATCAACAAGGTGAGCTCCTCTGAGAACATAGCAGACTTAGATCCCCCAGACACTGTAAGTATGAGCAACTGTAATTCTTGTTACACACACATGACCATACCAAGAGGCAAATGTATGGGGCTCCAACTGTGCAGTAACTCACACAGTTTTGAAAGAATTCTGTTTTAACTCTTGCTTCTTCTGTAAGCTACATCCCTCAGGCAACATTGCTTTTGTTCTCTCTTTGGCCCTTTGCTCAGAAAACAAACAAACAAGCAAACCAAATAAAATAAGCATTTATGAAACATTAAAGTCACAGTCTTTTGTTAACTCTTTCCATTCTAGTCCTTAAGAGGCATGGAAATTCACATATATTACTCTCAATTATTTGAGAGTAAATTTTTCTCCCATTCTATAGGTTGCCTGTTCACTCTGATGATAGTTTCTTTTGCTGTGCAGAGCTCTTTAGTTTAATTAGATCCCATTTGTCTATTTTGGCTTTTGTTGCCACTGCTTTTGGTGTTTTAGTCATGAAGTCCTTGCCCATGCCTATGTCCTGAATGGTATTGCCTAGGTTTTCTTCTAGGGTTTTTATGGTTTTAAGTCTGAAATTTAAGTCTTTAATCCATCTTGAATTAATTTTTGTATAAGGCATAAGGAAGGCATCCAGTTTCAGTAATGATTTTTGAAGGAGAGCAAGAAGCAAAGGAATCTACAGTGTGGACAACTTTGGAGCACTAACTAGTCCCTCATTGGAAGGATTTCTTATTTGCCAGGGAGGGAGAAGCGCTAGCTGAAGCCACTGCTATTAGAAAGCCAAAAATCTTGCTAGACTTCAGTTGAGTTAGTGCAGACCAAGCGACTGAAAAAGGCTGGAGAAAATTACCAGGGCCATTTCCTCATGGAAGTGGCAAAAGTTGTGTCTTTCCTTACTTATTTCAAACTTAGTTTTTTATCACTCTCCTACATGGAAAGTTCACTTTCCTCAGAACCACCTTAATTTGGGGTCACTTACCAGAGATAACATCTGAAAGATTCAGTTTTCCAGAAGATTTCTTTATAGTGCCAAACTCACTTAATAGATAAATCAACTTTCTGTTTGATTTAATAATTAGGTTATGAATATAATAAATAAGTAGGCATTTTGGTTTAATAACTTTCTGTCATTTAGAGAGTGTTTAACATGTTGCAGGAATTATATAGCATCTATATTTATACCATATTTGCATAACATACAAATACACAAATTGGGTTTATATAACATACTATATATAACATCTATATAAGTATAATTGCATATCATTGTGCTAAAAGTCTTAAATATTATTATCCCCATTGAGCACATATGAGAAATAAAACAGACTTAAATAATTGCTCAGGATTCTTTGCCATCACATTACACAGCTGGAAATCAAATGGCTGGCTGGCTGATTTAGAATTAATATGTCTAATTATTCTATGTTACTCTCTCCTATGAAAATGAGTTGAATTGCTATATTCCCAACAGACTGGTATACATTTTAACATCATCTTTATGTTGAACCACATAAATATTTTACCTACTTAAAAATATATATGTACAGAAAATAAAACTTGAACACAGACTAAAAAAAACTATATCAAATTGATATGATAGTTACAAGGAGGAAAAATTGTTTCTGGTAATCTAGAACATAGCACTATATGCATGACAATTTAGTCAGTTACATACTAGGTTACAGAAGAACAGCCACATGAAATTACAGTATATCCAGCAGGCTTGTTATAGAGTTATTGGTGTCATTATTTGGAAATTATTTTTATAGTATAGAAGGAAGTAAATAAGTAACTATATTAGTGTTATTTGTAAAGGAGAAAGAGCTACAAGTATACCACTAAAGAGCTAAGTCAAACTATCCCAGTGTTAAAGTTTAATTGGAATTATTATGAATTTAAGTTTTTTAAATTATTTGTTTCCACCCACAGAAAAGGCCTAGAAGCTTCTGACACTCTGGTAGCCATGAGCATTCCAGAAGACCACATTTCATTTTCCAAACACATTTTTCCAATATGAAAAGCAAAAGCTTCTCAGAGACATCAATTCAAGTCTGGACAAGAAAAGTGTAAACTGGTGCTTAGCTGTCGTATTGTGCCACAGCACAAGGGAGCTCTGCTGTGTCCAGGCAAGGGTCTTCCTAGGTTCCTCTAGACATTCAGACTCACCGGGTTATGACAGGTCACATATGGACAAGTATGTTTGGTAGGATATAGGACAGAAATCACAGCTTGCCAGCAGAGTGAATCAGATGTTCCTCTTTAATAGCAGTCCTGCAGGCACACATCAGACAGCTCTGGGACCAGAAGATATGACTGACACAGGAGGGTGAGAAAGTTACCCTGTTTTAGCTTCATTCACTATGGCAGCTGATATTTCCTGGAGCAGCCCCATAGACATAATTTCCAGGGTCTCATGAGGAGACTGTCCCAAAAGTCATTGCATTCAGGAAAGACAAAAGATATGGCTTCCTATCATGTATTTATTATTCTTCCAGTCCAGACTCAATTTACTAATTAATGGTAATTTTTACTATAAGCATTGTTGCTTAGTAACTTTCCCTCTATCTGTTTCCAGGGAAACATAGCTAAGAGGTTAACTGAAGGTCAAATTTTTAGGCAGAGGGGAAAGAGTTTTGTTAAACATTTGCCAACAAAAGTATTCAAATACTATTTTAAAAAATAGAAAAAAGTGATATTTGCTACTATTGGAGACGGCTATTATTCCAACCCTTTAATCAGAAAGTTAATAATTAAAGGAGGGCTCGCCTGTAATCCCAGAACTTTGGGAGGCTGTGGCAGGTGGATCACTTGAGGTCAGGAGTTCGAAACCAGCCTTGCCAACATGGCAAAACCCCATCTCTACTAAAAATAAAAAATTAGCAGGCATGGTGATGCGCACCTGTAGTCCCAGCTATTCGGGAGGCTGAGGTGGGAGAATCACTTGAACCTGGGAGGTGGAGTTTGCAGTGAATGGAGATTGTGCCACTGCACTCCAGCCTGGGCAACAGAGCAAGACTCTCTCAAAAAAAAAAAAAAAAGGTGGCAAAATAGTGAATATAGAAGTATAAGAAGAAAATATTAGAATAGTATGATTTTGCCATCCTTAAGGAAATATTTGTTTAGGGTAAAGATAATCAATGGATGGTAAAGCCATCAGGTGAAGGAGGATGGGGAATTTCATATTTGCATGGTATATCAATGCTATCACAGATTACTTGATATTCACAAGGAGCATACATTTCTTTACAGTGCAGGATTTTGCACATCTCTGTGACAACCCAGTGAGTGAAATACTGTCAGGTATTTTGTCCTTTGTGCTCAGGAAAGAAAAGTACTAGATGTTTGGTGTACCTGTAAAAAGAGACTAAATTCCTTCCTTCTCTACCTGTAGGAAGCACATATTTCATACTCCTCAATGTTACATGTTTTACAACAGTAATCCCTCAGAAGTTAGGAGAGGATATCCTGTGGTTTCTCAGCAATGTGCATAATGAGGTGGGTCAATCAAATTTGGAATGCAATATGGACACAAAACTTGGGCAACATGTTACTACTCTCTTGGTAGAGTAGTAATACTTTCGGTAGAAACCTTCTATTTGTCTCTTCAAACTAACTCCCCACCCTTCTTCATCCTGAACTGCATTAGTTTTATGAGTTGCATTAGTTGAATGGATTGCATTAACTGCACCTTAGTCCTCTGGATTCCAGTAGCATCGAGCCAATGGTAAGTTCTTACAGGAGATCAGAGAATGGCAACAAAATGAGATGAGGTATTTATTTGCCTAGAGCCTTCCCAGCAGCACTGCCTTGGGCTGACTTCCCCCTCTGTCAGACGTCCCTGGGATGTATGATACATGAGATTTCAGCCACATGAAACTTGCTGTTTTTGTATTGTTAAAGCTCATGTCTTATAAGTATTCTGATAAATTCTATTGTGTTTTTTCTTTAAAAAATAAATATATAGTATGTTTAAAATAATATATAATGCTATTGAAGACATTTCTAAAGGAATAGAATATTTTCTGCCTAGGCATCAATGGAAACTGCATCATATGGTTACAATTGTACCAGTTTGATTTGATGGTGGGAAGAACTGTGAACAGAATAGTATTAAACCATTGAGATACTTGTTTGTGCTTTTCCCAAATCAGTAGACTATATTGTTAGATTATTGTTTAATTTTTTTAACCATAGATAATCTTTTTTCACAGTTAAAAAGAAGAGAATAATAGAAGTTATGTTTATACTTTCTGCTGACAGTTTCTTTTTCTTTTTGAAGCACATCTTTTGTAATTCAATGTTATTTGAATTTTTTTTCAGTTTTAAAAGCAAAATTTGTTTGATGTTGTAGAATCCATGGGAACTTGGCCTCCTGAAGGTTCACTGAAAATTCACTGACATGAGGCAGACTGATTAATAGAAATAGAAGAAAAGGCATAAAAATTTATTTAATGTGTAATTTTTCACTGAATTGGATAAACCATTCTAAAATTTATATGGAGCCAAAAAAAAGAGCCCGAATAGCAAAAGCAATTCTAAACAAAAGAAACAAAGCTGGAGACATCACATTACCCAACTTCAAACTGTACTACAAGGGTACTTACTACTATAGTAACCAAAACAGCATTGTACTGGTACAAAAATATACACATATACCAGTGGAAAAGAATAGAGAACTTAAAAATAAAGCCACACACTTATGAGCAACTAATCTTTGAGATAAATATTGCAGAAAGGTCAGCCTGTTTAATAAATTATGCTGGGAAAACTGGCTGGTCGTATTCAGAACAATAAAAGTGGACACTAGGCCGGGTATGGTGGCTCACGCGTGTAATCTCAGCATTTTGGGAGGCTGAGGCAGGTGGATCTCTTGAGGCCAAGAGTTCAAGACCAGCCTGGCCAACATGGTTAAATCCCATCTACTAAAAATACAAAAATTAGCTGGGCATGGTGGTGAACACCTGTAATCCCAGCTACTCGGGAGGCTAAGGCACAAGAATCTATTAAACCTCGGGGGCTGAGATTGCAGTGAACTGAGATCACACCATGGAACTCCAGCCTGGGTAACAGAGTGAGGCTTTGTCCAAAAAAAAAAAAAAAAAAAACAACCAAAAAAAACCCTACTGCTCACCATATACAAAAACTCAGGTGGATTAAATATGTAAATGTAAGATCTCAAGCTATAAAAATCCTAGAAGAAAACCTAGGAAAACTTTTAGACCTAAGCAAAGAATTTATGACTAAGATTTCAAAAGCAAATGAAACAAAAACAAAAATTGACAATTGGGACATTAAATTAGGGAACTTCTGCACAGCCAAATAAACTATCAACAGAGTAAACAGGCAACCTACAAAATGGGAGAAAATATTTGTAAACTATGCATCAGACAAAGGACTAATATCTAAAATCTATAAGAAACTTAAACAAATCCACACGAACAAAAAATAACCCCATTAAAAAGTGGGCAGAAGATATGAACAGACACTTCTCAAAGGAAGACACACGGGCAACCAAGAAACATGAAAAAATGTTCAACATCACTAAGTGTCAGAGATAACGTAAATTAAAACCACAATAAGATACTGTCTAACACCAGTCAGATATGGCTATTATTAAAAAGTCAAAAAATAACAGATGTTGTTGATGACATGGAGAAAAGGGATTGCTTACATACCGTTGGTGTGAATACAAACTAGTTCAGCCACTGTGGAGAGCAGTTTGGAAACTTCCTAAAAAAATTAAAAATAGATTTGCTATTCATTTCAGCAATCTCACTACTGGGTATCTACCCCTTAAAAAAGAATTAATTGACCAATAAGAGCTCTGAACTCATATGTTTATCACACTGCCATTCACAATAGCAAATTCATGGAATTAACCTAGGTGCCCATCAACAGATAGCATAAATAAAATGTGGTACATATACACCATGGAATACTATATAAACATTAAAAATAATGAAATCATGTTTTTTGCAGCTGGAGGCCATTATCCTAAGTGAACTAACCCAGAAACAGAAAATCAAATACTGCATGTTCTCACTTATAAATGGGACCTAAACAATGGGCACATGGGCACAAAGATGGAATTAGACATTGGAGACTCCAAAAGGTGGGAGGATAGAAAGGAGGTCAGTGCTGAAAAACTACCTATTGGTTACCATGTTTACTACTTGGGTGAGGGGTTCAACAGAAGCCCAAACCCTGGCTTTACATAATATACCCATGTGAAAACAACCGGCACATGTACCCCCGAATCTAAAAAAGAAAACAAAAATCTTTCCTAGATATAGACAAGGGAGGGCCTCAGAGCAATGTCAATGCAGTTTTTCTACAGATGCAAATCTCCTCCACAAAAGACAGCTTTGCAGGGCTATTTTTGTTTGCTGGCCTTCTCAACAGCCACCTCAAAGTATAACAAAAAGTTATATTTTGGAGTAAAATATTTTGATTCTTCTCAAAATAAAACACGTAAATAGACATTTTTAAAAGTTGACAGTAATTCCATTCCATCAAATCATTATAAAAATTTTCATGTCATTAAGTCTTTCCTATCCATATTTTACATAGCTGTCAAACTTCTCTATATCTCATTTTGTCTTTTTTTCTCGTATGATAAAACACATTTTTGCAAATCATTTGCACACAAGGTTTTAATGACTATTATTGATAGTATGTATGATAATTTATTTAACTTTTACAACGAACTAAGATATTTAATGTATCTCAGATAGGTTGGTAGCACACGTCTCACTCTAATAAATACTCTTCTATATCAGTTTTATGTTGTATTTTTAAATATTGATGCAGATAGAGTACAAGTAGTAGTTATTTCCTAAGATAAATTTGCAAATAGAGTTCAGGCTTACAGAAATAGTGTAAAAAAAAAGAATTCCACCTAAATAAATCATTATAAAGCCAAACCCAAATGAAGAGATGAGAAGGGATGACACAGTAAGGGTGGTAAGGCCTGGGTGACTAAACAGGTCACAGCTGGGGAGTAGCTCTTTTGGGACAAAGCCAATTCAGGCCAGAATCTTATGGGTTGCCTGGATTTATGTCACTGATTTTCATCTTTCCTGATGAGCCTATATGTCTTTATTAAGAATGTAAACTGTGGATTTAAGAATGTAAACTGTGGATCAGAAAATGTGCCAGAACCGTTTAACCAAAGACCTCCCCTTCCCTCCATTTAACCATATCTTAACACCGTCTGTAAAAAATTATCTCTACTCTCAGCTTTGCCACTTTTTTGGGATTGAGCCAAGGAATGGGCCTCAGTTTTCCTGAGCACCTCATGAACAGCATTGTAAAATTGAATAATTCAAACTTAAAGCTCCTGAAACTTTCAGAGTTTTAGGAGTTTCTCTCTTGTGCCTTGAGAGAAATATGACTATGTGGTCTGAGTCTTGGGGCATGTAGCTGCAATTTCTGCCTTTTTTTCCGTAAATAATTAGGAAAGCCATATAGTGCCACAGATAAGATCATCTCAGATCGCTACTCCTTCTCATGGAGTAATAATCTTCCTTGGAATGTAGTAATCTGTAAACAATCAAATTGTTGTAACATGTGCATTTGTTTCACACAGAAGATGTAATTTTGCTAAAATGTCTGTTTATGCCTATAAGTGAGGCTTTAACTTCTCCACATTGGAATACTGGTTCCATTGGTTTGGAGTAGGTATCTCCCAGGTGCTCATACTCAAAATTTGTGCTGAAATAAACTCTTTATTTAATCGTATTTTCTGAATCTCATTATTTAAGGTTTCTAAGGGATCCGAAATGAACCTTCAGTGAACACTGTCACTTTGCCGATAACTACAGCCTTGGTACCAGCATGAAAGACTTAATGCTGAGTCGCTGGGGATCTCAGGTAGATGACCTCTCAAGTCCAAACTCATGTGTTTGAGGATTCAGACTTCATTCAAGCTACACGCATTCTTGAATTGACAAGGTTGGAACTGAAGCGCTATTGCAAGGTGGGAGTTTCATTTGTTATTCTTTAGAGATTCTGCTGATTGAAAATTGTGGTTTTTCACTTCTCTTTCAGGCTTAGGTTTTGATTGGAACTACTCCTTAGAGTTTTTCAATGGGAGTTTTTCCTCTCATTTGACATTTTCGTCAGGCAAAAAAAAAAAAAAACAAAAAAACAGTGTCTCTTTGAAAAGAGGAAGTGAATACCTGTAGCTTAAGAAAAACATTTGTAATATTTAAAACTGGCCATATTTTGAAGCTGAGTCCAATTGACTTTCTTCTTGACTAACCGAAATTATAAAAGGCTCTCTATGAGAATGACATAAGTCCTCAAGATATGAGAAACTGCTCCTCCATGCCAAAATGAACCTTAGGCTGCCATGGTCCTGCAGGAATGTTGGAGCTTATCACCCATGATATGAAATGGTCTCACAGGAAATCTTTTAAGAACATACAGGGAACTTTGCTTAATCTGGTGGACACACATAAAGTTGATCACCTGGTGCCTTAAGTACCCAAGTCTCTTGGGATCACTGAGATGCCTACAAGAGAAGAACTGACTCAAGGGTGACACCTTGAGGAGCTTTTCCCACAAATGGCACACTGGATCCCAAACAACGCTTACTAGGTCTTTTTGGTCATTCAAAAGGAAAGGAAAGTCTAAATTATGGGCACTTAACATTTCTAAAACTGACTCTTCCTCCTAAGGAGAGAGCCAGCATTAGAAACACCAGCAGGATTTATATTTAATACTAACAGTGCCTTTTCATGCAAATGTTTAGGAAACTGGTCTCACATAACTTATAATGACCACAAATTACAATGGCCAAAATGAAGTGCCTTTGTAATACTTAAACTAGTTTATCTGCATTCTCAATTAGAAAAAGTCAGCTCTAAAATAAAACTTAATATAAGGGAAAACTATTTTCAACGGTACTTAGAAGCTTCTAAGAGCTTCCGATAAAGTCATTTGTTTGCCAAAGGAAAACAAAAGATTATCTGAAACTATTTTGAATTTAAAAAAAAAACAAAAACAAACAAACAAACAAAAAACCACTGCTGAAATGATCCTCCCTCTTTCAGCTCCTACTCCTCTTTTGTCCGAACTTCCCCGTCTGGACTTTCATCCCTCTACGCCTCCTCCTTGTTCTGCTGTTCCGGCTCCATTTTGGAAATACCCTGTATTTGTTGGGTGAGAACCTGCTTTGATTTATCAAGCATGGTCAAAAGTAAAACTTAAAGGTATAATGAAAGAATTCCTGGGCCCTCTTTGGGGTCCTATTTGATTTGTTAAAACACTTAAATTAAACATTTAAACTTATGATTTCAGATTCTATGATTTGTATCGATTGGTTCACATATTAGTGTCAGAAAGTAAAGCCAAAGATTGCATGGCAAAGGCAAATTGGAGAAATTCTCTAAAAGTATTTCATAAATTTTCGGAAGAAGATTGTGCAGATGTTCGCAATACTGCCAAAGGTTTACTAGACACTATCCCCATAGTTTTTCAAAGAGTAGGTCAGTAGAACAAAATACAACAATGCTGACAAAATATTGAAAAGGCTGCAATGACAAACTATAAAGGATTTGAGAAAAATCTTAAGCAATATTCAAGCATATCAGAAGAAAGTTATGCTAACTACCAAAATGATACTCTCCTTAATTTGAATGTTTTAAGTTGGAGATTTGATGAGTAACTGGCAGTCATAATAAAGAGGCAATGCCCCAGTTAGGCTACCTCTCAAACTTATGATCTAGTTAATTTGGCTGATAAACATTCCATACCCTAACCAAGGTAAAAAAGAAGAGGAAGTTAAACAGAAAGGAAAAGCAAATAAGATCATGAGTTTACAACAAAAACAATTGTCCAACCAATTTATAGCCCATAAACCGTCTAATACATTTCAAAACTGACCTAGTCCCCTGCTTTGCAATTACTACAAAAAGCCTAAGCATTTCAAAAGGGACTGTAGAAAATTAAAATGGAAAACACAGCAACAGACCAAAGAAAAATAAGAGTGGGTATGCTCTGAGGAAATCAAAGGGAGCTTCTCATTTTTCCTCACTGACACTTTAGGGGAAATTAAAATTAATTTAAATAGAGAACAAACACAGGCTCTTATTGACACTGGAGCTAAGTTATCAGTGATAAATTTCACATTATTACAAGGTCCCATTTCTCAGAGTTAAAAAAAATGCAAATGGTGTGTATAAAGATAGTTCTATATCAGTATATGAATCTCGACCAACAGTTTTTCAGTTAGGTCCCCTACAGAAAATGTGTGCTTTCCTCTTGGTTCCCTCAGCCCCATTTATCTGATGGTGGGAGACTTTTTAGAATTATACAATACCCACACCTCTTTCTCTCAGAAAGTGGAAATGTACTTAGAATTAGAAATGAAATAGAATTATTAGGTCTAAAAGTTTTTCAAAATATTATACTTTTAATTCACAAATTACGATTCATATTGTCATGGAGAAAAACAAGTTGTTAAATAATGAAGAATTTCAAGAGCTATTAAAAATAGTACCAAATAAATTGTAGTCAAATCTCCCACCAATATTGGAAAAATAATTTTGGCTGCCCCAATTAAAATTCAAATAGATCCACCAAAACTTCTTTCAACCATTAGCCAATACCTTCTAAGATCAGAGGCCTTGTAAGAGATAAGTCCTATAATTTTGGATTATATAGAAAAGCTTAATTATTTATTGAAACACTCCAATTATCCACATAAGGAAACCAAATTTTAGAGGGCAGAGATTTGTACAGGATCTGGGAGCAATTAATAACACAGTCAAAATGAACCTTACGCTGCTAAGGTCCTGCAGGAATGCTGGAGATTAGTACCCTTAGCACCCATCAAATAGTACCCTATATGCTGTTGACTGCCATTCCAACTGTAGGTGACTTCTTTACTCTAATAGATCTATGTAGTACATTCTTCAGCATTTCTTGGACAAATATAGTTAATTTCTCTTTGCCTTCACTTGGGAAGACAGATAATACACAGGGACTGTTATGCCTTAGGGATATACTTAGAGCCCAACTTAGTTTTCGCAAATGATAAAAGCAGACCTCTCAGATATCAGCTTCCCTAAGAAGTCTGCGTTGATGGAGTATACAGGCAGTTTACTTCTCTGCTCAGGGGATAAGCAAGCCCCCATAAAAGCTGAAATTAATTTATTACAATTAGTGTCAAAGAGACACAAGGTCTCAAAGGAAAAACTTCTGTTCTGCCCAAAACAAGTAAGATATTTGGGTCCCCTAATGTCAAAGAAAGGTCTTTTTATCAATCTGGATAGAGTAAAAAGAATATTGGCTTTCCTTTCCCCAAAAACTAAGAAACAAAAATTTTAAGGTTGGAAGCATACTGCAGAAATTAGATTCTAAACTTCTCCTTAAAACCTCAGTCTTTATATACTCTTTTAAAACAAGATAAGCTAGAACCCCTGGAATGGGCAGAAGAAAACAAATTATCATTGCAAGAAATTTGTAAAAGAGTTTTATAGATATCCCAGCATTCAGGCATCCAAATTATAATATCTTATTATTATTGATTGTTCATGAGAATCAGGGAACTGCCTTAGGTGTTGACTCAAAAACATAAGAGATCAAAATAAGAACTGTAGGATGCTATAGTCAACAATTGAACCCTGTGGCTAAAGAATTGCTACCTTGCATGAAAGCAGTAACTGCTACTACAATACTAATAAAAGCAAATGAAGGAATAATGATGGGATCTTTGTTCATTGTCTTTGATCCACATTCTGTGAAAGCATTTCTAAACTTGCATCACATTCAACACTATTCATTTAGTAGACTGGCTTCTTATGAAGTTCTTCTTATTTCTGCTCCCTATATTACAGTCTTCAGTTGTAATAATGTAAATCTTGCCACTCTTCTGCTTCTGTCTTCTGATGAAATACCACATAATTGCATAATCCTAAACAACCAGCTTCTCTCTCTTAGGATGGACCTGCACGAAACCCCCCTTACTAACAATGATGTTATTTGGTTTACAGTTGCACCTTACTTAAAGAGTGCATTTGGAAATTATCATGCAGGTTATGCTGTAGTATATTTAACTGAGCAAACAGAAAGGGCTTATATTCCAGGAGCAACTTCAGCTCAACAAGTAGAGTTAATAGTATTAATTAAGCCTGTCAACGGGCAAAAGGGATCACTTCCAATATTTATACATGAAAATTTATATAATATTTATAATATTTATGCTGGTCAGAGTAGCTTATGATTTTGGAAATCTATGGAAACAAAAAGGATTTCTAACCTCTTTCGATCAGTTCATAAAAAATGGACACCCTGTTTCATAATTATTGGAAGCTATATTATTACCAAAATATAGCCATTATCAAGATCCCAGAACATTCAAAGTCAAATACTACAGAAAGCAAGAGAAATCAGTTAGCAGATAATAGAGTAAAAAGAGCTGCCCTAAGTGTATCTGAACAAGAAAATCAACCCATTTTAGCTTTCAAAAAGCGCTTGATTTTGATATAAAATTAGTTTAATCCAAAGCTCCAAAAATAAAACAAGAAAATTGGGAGACAAAAGGGAAACATACTCTTCCAAGACTGGGCTGTTGTATAGACCAAATGGTCTAGTTATACTTCCAATCAAATTACAATCATCTTTCTTAACTTATGTTCATGTTTTAACTCATTGGAGCCCCAGTAAGATGGTTCCTTGGAGAAAACAATATAATCATCATATCTGCGCCAAACATAATCCAGGGAAACATTTACATAGTTTTCAAGGTACTTTTCCTTTACCAGAAAGCCCTTTCAAGGTATAGCAACTAGATTTTATTCAGCTACCACCATCAGAAGGAGTCAAGTACATTCTAGTAACAGTTTGTATGTTTTCTCATAAAGTAGAAGCATTTCCATCCAGAAGAACAACAGCCTTAGCAGTAAGTAAAATTCTCTTAGAAAAAATTATTCTGACTTGGGGAGTTTCGCGAGAACTTCACAGCAACAGAGGTAGTCATTTTATTGGCAAATAATCCAGTCAGTATACAAAAGCTGGCTCACTCTCCAACATTTTCATTGTGCCTATCACCCTCAGTCATCTGGCTTAGCGGAAAGCACAAACAAAATAATCAAACTCAACTGGCAAAATTAACTGAGATTTTTTAAATTCCTTGGCCAAAAGCTTTTCCATTGGTTTTGCTTAAACTAAGATCAACTCCTTTTGCTAAATACCAACTGTTTCCATTGGAAATTATAACAGGCAGGTCTATAAAATTATTTTCAGAAAAGTATAGATCTATGATACTAATAGGGGATATGTTGTATTATTGCAGGAGGCTTATAAGGCAGCTAACTAAAGAGTGTAATTCAGTAAGACTCTTTCTACAGTGAACTCCCAGAAGATACAATCTTAAGGACCAGGAGACTTCAAGCAACAGGTTATGTCTATTGAAAATGACATCTTTTAAAGGACTCCTTTCAACTAAGGTGGAAAAAATCTTATTGGGTGCTCCTTACCAAATCTTGTGCCACTAAACTAAAAGGAATTAGTTCCTGGATACACATCATCCATTTAAATAAGGATCCTTTGCTAATTTGGACTTTATCTTAAACTGGTAATTTAAAATTAAAATTCCTCAGAACCAGCAAGGATAAGAAAAATACAATATCTGAGCTAGTCAGTTTTCTCAAGACACCAAAACAGGCCTTTATCTAAATAAATGCTTTATATTAATAATCATAGATGGAGAAGGTCTCTCTTTACAAATTCCCATTAAATCTCTTTCTTTTTGCTCCTAGTTCTTATGTTTTGTTGCTACTATCACCAGCTGTTGCCCATGAAGCATACCTCTTCTTGCAGTGAGCTCAGTATGCTAACAGATTACAGAAAAACACATGCTGGGTATGTGGCCTCATGCCCCTTTCTGGTGGTCTGGTGCCTCCTTGACTCTTCTTTCGATTTAAGGCTAACCCTTTGTGAGAGAGCCTGGTGGAAGACTTTAGCTGCACAAAGCAAAAAGTAGAAAAAGCCAGGTTGGTACTGGTCAGGAGCAGTATAAATTTATAAGAGAGGGTTGAACAATGGTTATGGATGGAAAAGGATATGGATGGAAAAGCAAAAGTGGGTGCAAATGGCAAACTGCAAAACCAAGCCATGAAAAATAGGACAAGAAATAAATGCAAGGCTATAAAGAGCCCTAATATGGTAAATGGATGGATGGATGGATGGATGAGGCCCAGAAGGGATAGGGGCAAGTCACTTGAGACCAAGTGTGTGAACTCTGAAAGTAGTTATTTCTGACATGCAA
Source organism: Homo sapiens (assembly GCF_000001405.40). Lineage (NCBI taxonomy): Eukaryota > Metazoa > Chordata > Mammalia > Primates > Hominidae > Homo > Homo sapiens. The sequence continues at coordinate 49,193,808 of NC_000007.14, forward strand.
GACTTGGAAACAGGCCTGAAAGGCAAAGCATTTGATTTCAAATTTGTTCCCTAGAAAAATGGAGGGTGCTTCAGAGATTGTTCCTGGGATCTTTTCCCTGATTCCGTCCTTCCCACCTCCATCCTCTCCAAAGCACACACTTAATTTGAGCTTACATGCTTCACGTATTGGCCTCATGTGCTACTACCAGACTAAAAAAGGCTCAAAAATTACAGAACTGTCAGAAGAAAAAGTGGACGGTTAAGCATTCTTTACCTTTTTGGGCCAGCGTATCTTAGAATTTATCTTCGTATCCTCCAATTCCCTAAGCATCTGCTCCTTTTCTCAGTAAGGAAATACAATCTTCTCTCCTGTCTGTGATTCCAGAACAGAAGAAGAAAGAGTCATCATCTGTAGACCAAGGCACCCAGGGCCAAACTGTAAAAATAAGAGATGCTTACATTTTCAGACATTTCTTCTCACATGGAAGTATTTAAAGTTCAATCACAAAATACTTTAAATCATTTGAGTTGCCTAAATATCTAAATGTTGCATTGTGAATGTGCCTGGCAAAATCTTACCTCCTTTGGTCATTTAGACAAACTTTTATTTTTTTTTCAAACCATAAAAAATGTTAGACTATTTTGGAATGCTTTGAGATTTTCTCAAGTGAAAGTAAGATTTTCTCGAGTGAATTATACTTCATAATTCTCCAACTCAGTTACAGACATGCAAAAACAGACTTTTGATGTTTTTCAATTTTCTTTTTAAATATGGAGTGTTTAACTACAATGAATTCATCTTGTAATGTGTTATGCATCTTAGTTTTGACTTAAATGATATTTCTTTCTCATCTATCCATCTCTGCCTTATTAGACAAAGCACTAATTCCTCACATTGCCACTTAGAGGTGATGTGCCGTGTCAGAAGTATCAAAGGTAATGAGGAAGTGCCTCATTTAGACTTCATTAGGAGAGTTTCCAACCCAAAGTCAAATGCACTTGAATGACATCGGATCTCAGGCAGCCCAAGCTGGGACTCTTCCAGGATCATGATGGCACAGCTGGGACAGTGGCTGGTCTTTATCAGGCAGGCACAGTGGCCAAAGGCAAAGATCTACATTTGACTCCTGTGCTTCATATTTTACCAGCAGCTCTGTTTCTCTGTATCCTGCCAAGAATTCCCAGAAGGAAAAAAGGCTTGGAGGTGAGGCTGGGTGAGATAGAGTGTAGAGAATAATGAACACCATCCTGCAATAGAAATTTCAACAGAACATTAGAACTTCTATGGTAACTTTGCTGAAAAAAAAATATATAATCATAATAATTATGGTTTTTTTTGTAGCCAAAAGATATTGGAGAATAATTTTGGTTGTACATACCCCTTCAACATGTACATTTCTCTCCAAGTAGGAATAACCTTATTCAGCTACTTCTGCAAAAAAATGATAAACATCATTGGCTTTTCTAACTCTAAAAATCACATTTTTAAATAAAACATTCAGTTCAAATTTACTCAAGCAAAACACCTATCTATAAATTCACTGAAGAAATTAACCTTATAAATTTTGAATTTGCATATTTATAAGATAAATTTATACTTCTCACACTTAAGTCTTTTGTCTCACATAAGTAATTTTTATCAACACATATATTCTATTTGCTTATTTGTCATAGGATTCAACATTGCACAAAATTTTGATACATGAATTATGGAATTATATTTACGAGTTTTTCATCAGCATTTATTTGTGATATTTAAAATCATTTATGTATTTTTAGCTCTTTGAAACAGATAAGTGGCCAGAGTGATTAAAGTTGAAAACAAAATTACAGATAAAATATACATTTAATAAGTATTCTGTACTTTTATAACTTTTTAAATGAAAATTAAGGAAAGACTACTTACATTCAATTTTACGTTATAGTTTACTACACATTTTGTGTTAAGGGGAGTGTTCTGTAAACATATAGATTTATAAACTATATATAGATACAAAGATATATCTCACCTATCTAACTATATATTTGTATGTTTTTTAAAACTTTTAAATTACATGTCAGGTTTTGTCATTTTAAAAGTCTATATTGATATATTTATTTTAATTATGTGAATTTTTCTCGAGTACTTCTTTAGCTGTGTACCACAAAATTTTTACATGTTTACTTTCTGTTATTATTTACTAGAAATTTTGCAACTGCATTTTGCATTTCACTTTTGATCCAAGATGTATTTAAAATTGTAATTTCCATGTAGCATAGTATTTTCTTTTTTAACTTTTATTTTAAGTTCAGGGGTACATATGCAGATTTGTTATGTAGGTAAATTGCATGTCATGGGGAGTTGGTGTACAAATTATTTCATCACCCAGATAATAAGCATAGTACCTTATAGGGAGCTTTTTGATCCTTTCCTTCCTCCCACTCTCTACCCTCAAGTAGGCCCCAGTGTCTGTTATTCCCTTCTTTGTGTCCATGTGCACTCAATGTTTAGCTCCCACTTATAAGTTAAAACATGCAGTATTTGTTCCTGCATTAGTTCACTTAGGATTATGGCCTCCAGCTCCAATCATGTTGCTGCAAAGGGTGTGATCTCATTATTTTTATGGCTGTGTAGTATTCCATGGTTTATCTGAACCACATTTTCTTTATTCAATCAGTCACTGATAGGCATTTAGGTTGATTTCATGACTTTGCTATTGCAAACAATGCTGCAATGAACATATGTGTGCATGTGTCTTTATAGTACAATAATTTATATTCCTTTAGGTATATACCCAATAATGGGATTGCTGCATCAAATGTCACTTCCATTTTAAGTTCTTTGCAAAATCGCCACACTGCTTTCCACAGTGGCTGAACTAATTCATATTCCCATCAGCAGTGTATAAGCATTTCCTTTCCTTTGCAACCATGCCACCTTCTGTTATTGTTTTACTTTTATAATAATAATAATAGTAATAGCCATTCAGACTGGTGTAAGAAGGTATCTCATCTAAATGATGTTTATTGTTTTAGTTGTTAATGTTTCTAATTGGTACTACATTGAACTGAAAATGTTAGTGGCAGCAAATTCGTACAGATCTGCAGCAACCTCACTTCTCGCCTCCACAAAAGAAAAGTATTCCACTGAGGGAAATAAGGCAGAAGAAGAAACTGAAGCAAGTTTTAGAGCAGGAGTGAAAGTTTATTTAAAAAAAAAAAAACTTTAAAGCGGAAATGAAAATTACACTTGGAAGAGGGCCAAATGGACACCTTGGAGGTCAAGTGCCCATTTGACCTTGGACTTAGGGTTTTATATACTGCGCTACATCCAGCCTCTTGCTTTCCTTTTCCAGTGGAATGCATCTAGAAGGTCATATACCAGTAACACTCTGCCATTTAGCTTCTCAATGTGCTTCCTTGAGCTCACTCACCCAATTCCTGAGATCTTATTGGGAAGCTGCCAATCACCAGTTATAGGTGTTTTTATCTATTGGAAAACTGCCTTCCCCTAGCGCTGGGTGTGATCAGTTATTATTTTAGAGAGGCAGTGTGACAACTGCCTGATCCTCACCTGATGGTTGCCTGACTTTCCTTGTGGGATGTGGGGGTAGTACTCTCCTGCCCCGCTCATGCCTGACTAGCTACCTACTGTAACAAAAGGGGTCCTTTCTACACCAGGTGCTCTGCAAAGTACTTACACTGATGTGGCTCATGCCTGCCTCCTAGAAAATGACACATTCATTCTCTCTTTGTCTTTCTTTCTCTTTCTCTCTTCAACATGGGGTTTACTCAAGTACTTTTAGATGTGCTTAATGTAGATTTGTTTAGAGACTTTTTAAAGTTCTCTAAAGTTCACAGACTTCCCTAGGATCGTCAATGCAACCTCCTTTTCCAGGATTCAGACAGCCTTTGCTGATATAGTTACCGTCTATATCTCCCTATAAAATATTTCCTACTTTTGCTATAAACTGTCTTGTGAGGACATTGGTGTGGAGTACACAGGTATTAAACAAATATGTACAGATTTTCTAAGGGGAAAATAGGAACATTGAAGTATTGAGGACATCTGTGATTCTCTATAGTCAAGATAAAACTAAATCATTTAGCTACTATGATATTGTTTTGCTGTCAGAATTTTTAAAAGGGTACCCAGGTGTTAGCTGAAAAATACACCTTCCCACATTCCGGAGCCCTAAGTGTTATTTGTTAAATCAACCTAGCTGAAACAAGCTATTTGATGAAAGTTGGAAAGATAAATAAACATCAAAGATATTTCAAAGTGCAGGAAATTGTAGCTCAATTATAACTACTATAATTTCAAAATCCACAAGAGAAAATAAAAAAAAAATCCATATAATCATGAGTTGTAACTGGTAGAATGTCTAGAATTGTTGTTATTAAACTTTTGTGCCTCTAAGAATCACCTGGGAAGCTTACGGAGATCCCCAGGTGCTGTATCAAAGATTCTGCATTAGGAAGTTTAATTGTCTACCTTTTAACAGTACCTTCCACTGACTCTCTGGATGGTAGTTAACTGAATGCACTTTGAGAGCACTGCCCCCAAATATTTCATAGAAATGTTAAGATTAACAGTCCGGGTTGCATGATTTCTGGGCTTCTAAGCTAAAACGGCAAATTAAGGCCTTTCTTTTCCAACCCTAGTGACACTTAGAATCTGTGAAAAGCATTGGCCACTGCCAATAAATGCATTTTAATGGCATGTTGTGCTTATTTAACTACACACTCACCATAGACTGTGAGCCCCTAGTTCTTAACGCTGCTGAAGAATTCACCACTTCACTCTTTCTTGGTTTAATTGTTTTGGTCCCTGAATAATATTTCCATACATATAATATGCACACAATACAAGGTCTATCACTGTAGTTAGTGTAGGTCTTCTAATAGCATGAAAACTAAGCCTTGAAAAGTAAAGAAATAATAAGAAAACACTCTAGGAACTTAGAAAATATACAGATTTAGAGTCAGGATTCTAGTTATAGTTCAATAGATTGATCTATGTATGGATCAATAGAGATAGAAGAGAAATACATATATAGATATAGATGCAAAAATAGATATAGACATACACATAAGTATGTATTTGCATGTTTCTTTACTTTTAGAAATAATACTCACATATTTAGTTTAGCTAAGTTTTACAATATCACATGTTTCTTCTATAGATAATATTTTATTACTACCCTTGTTTTATATTTTTCCTTCTAGATGGATACCTAAAACCAGGATGAAATCTTATTCAGACTTGTAACCCTAAAGTTGTACCAGAGAATATCCTCTATTCTTTTTGTAAAGACCATGTAAAAAGAAATTTTATGTGCCTTTTAATATCTGAAAATATCTTGATTTTGTCTTCACTCTCTTGAGTGATTAGTCTTTGGAAAATGGCAGACATTTGTTCATGACTGCAATTTCATACAAAAGAAGCTGAGGCTCAGAAGTTAATGTACTTGCCCAATGCCACTCAAGTGGAATGCAGCAGATTTTAGAGACAGAACTGAAATCTAATCTTTGAACTAATTATTCATGAAATATTCGTTCTTCTACTCAACTTAGAGTTGTTGAATATTTATTATTCTCGAGGTTCTAGTAGAACTTACAAAGATCAACAGAGTTATTGGTCAGCTACAGATAATTTCATGGCATGATAATGGAGATAGAAATGTTCTTCCCTTCGTATCTTTCATTTATCCTACCCTACAACCAAAAACAAACAAACAGGTTGTTCATTTTCCAAGTTCTGCACTTTATTGAGCCTAATAACAAGCACTCCAATATTTTCTCTCAACCTAGTTCCTCTTAAAATCTGTGCTTGGCTTTTGACTCTCCCTACCTCCTGTTATATGAAGCTTCTCATCACGGCATCTTCTCTAAACTGGAAACTTTCCCTTCCTTTACCGTATCCCCAAACATTATTTCTACCTCTCATATCAGTTACCTTTCACATCCCATCAGTTTCTACTGCTGTGACATTTATGAATTTACCTGCATGTAGCCTCACTATATAGACAAACCCCTTGAGAATTTAATCATGTCTGTCTGAGGCAGGAAATTAAAGACAAATAAGATTAAAAAGAAAGAGAAATAAGTTTTTCTGTATTAGGCTGACTTGTCCCAGAGGCAGCAACAGGCACAGGCCAAACCCAGGAAAAGTCTTGCTAATATTATCTAATGTGCTCTGGAGACTCTCCCAGCACTCCCTCAACATACAGAGAAGAAAAACAAATTTTCCTTTGTTTTATGGAATGGGTTTATAGATTCCTCTTCTCTGTAACTAGTGACTTCAAGTGTTCTGTTTTATCTAAGAAGTATCATGAAGGTCATGAGAAGCCTGAGTAGGCTTGAACTACAGCTGCCTGGGCACCATAGTGAAGGTTATGGGATAAGCCCATACCCAGGCAAACCTAGATAACACACGTGGGTGCTTGGCAATGGTCATATGCAATCCTGTCTTTGTCCTGCCTCTGTATCCCTGCTTTCATGCCACTGTAAGCTTGCTTCGAGCTAGCCCACCCCCTTTAGTAAAGTGTGTATAAAAGTCAGGTGCTGTCTTTGTTCCGGGCTCAGTCTTTTGGACGTGAGTCAGCTGGGCCTGAGTGCACTCAATAAAGATTCTCCTATTTCAACCTGAGGTCTCTCTCATCCTTCTGAATCCCACAACATGTCCACTGTCTCTTCAACTGAGCTTAGCAAACACCCTCTCTTATATATTCACTTTCCAGTACTGTTAATCCAGTAATACTTCACACTCTCCCATTTCCTGCTCTGTGAAAATGACAGTTCCTCAGAGAGGCCTCTGCTGACAAGTCAGTCTAAAAGAGTTGTCACTATGTTATCTATCCCCATATACTGCTAGTTTTCTTTAAACCCTTGATATAATATTATTTGCCTTCTGTAATATACAGTAGACTTTATATTCCTTAAGGGTAAGATCCTAGTATATTTTCATCACTTTATCTCTTGTGATGTTAACAACACTTGACAATTAGAAAGTACTTGAAAAAATATTTATAAATAAATAAATTATTATTTATATGTGAAAAAACTTAGAGTAATGATAGAAAAAAAATCAAGTCCTAGTAATGACTCAGAGTGTTAAATAAATTCAAATATGGATACAGTTGAATTTACATTGACTAAACTTTATCTCTGCCGTGTTCTTCCTTATTGGGTATGGGGTGAAAACCTGCTGATTTCCACTTGACAAAGCTCCCATCATGATTGAAGAGGTTTCTTTATATGATTCAATGAGTGCTTAAATTTTTCTATTCAGAGATAGAGGCACTGTGCATGGCAAATAAAAGTTCGAGTTTGTAATAACACAAAAACTATCATCACAAAGGATTCATATATCAAAACCCATTATTTATTAAAAGTAAGTCTAGTACCTACCAAGATATTTGTGGAAAGCATCACCATTTAGTTCTCAGAAATAATAGAAGTAAATATTTCTCAACAAATATTTATTGAACACGTGTTATGCACAATGATCTTAATATTTTATAAACAAATCATCTAAGCATTCAGTAGTCCCCAGTCTTCACATATGGACCTAAACCCAGTGAAGTTAACTAACTTGGCAGTATTCACAGAGCTACTTAATGGCTACAAAAATGGTCATAGGGAAATTTCCAAAATAACTATTTAGCTTACTCTCAAATCAATAAGCAACCATTTCCTAGTATTCCTTGTAATAATGCTTCTGAGAAGTTCTGTAGGTGGCTATTAAGAAAACCTGAAGCCAGTAAGTGAGCCACTGAGCCCTCTGGGGATTTATGGAGTAAAGTTTGTTTATATGTGTTAGGAAATATTACCAGTGATACTGCTATGGCATCATAAGGTAGTCCTATAAGCAAATAAGTTGAGTCCTGGATTCATCAGATCCTGTCAAGTTTGCTTTTCTGACGTGTGCTCACCAGCTTGAAGCTTTGTCCTATACATTGACTCTAACAAAAATGCATAGCTTGATGGATAAGCATGTCAAGGTGAGGTAGTGTTCCCTCAACAGCTGAGTGCATTTGCCAAGCTGCCTATCTTAGTTTGGGTTTTCACAGAGGCTGACCTGGAGGTAAGAATTTAACATCAAGTAATTTATTTAGGAAGTGATCCTTGTCATGGGAAAAAGAGACAGGAAAGAAAGAAAAGCCCACAGCCGGGTGCATTAGTGAGTATGTTACTGTGGAATATCCCACTGGTGTCCTGAGCAAAACAATCCTCAGTTATACAAGCTGGGAGGCAAGAAAGCCCAGGCATGGATCCTTCATTGGTTGAGGGCTACTCTCTGGAGCATATATGGTGCTTCCAGCCTTCCCAATGCTTGGTTTGAGCCTGTTCGTGTTGCCAGGAGAAGACTTCAGGCAGAAAAGCACAGGTGCTTGAGAGAGGAAGTCAGCAATGTACCTGTCCACAGTGAGGGGAGTGGGTGCCCATGCCACCTGCACGAGCTGTGGTTCTCTAGCTTCTCTTATTTCCGCTCTTCATTTCATTTACTTCTGCTTGAAAGCTGACTCAATCAATCTGATCCCTGGCTCCCCAAGATCCTTGTCAACCACAACTTCTTCCCTTCAAAAAGTACTCCGAATGTGTTTATTGAGTTTTACACCAAGCCAGTCTGTGTTGGGCCTTATTGCTATAAATATGAATAAAACTGCATTCCAAACCATATTACTAATCCTCACCTTACTGTTTTAGAAAAGCCAAAATACTGACATGAACAAGCTGCAATGGGATATTGAGGAAGAAGCCATGACACTTCTGGGGGAAATCTGGGATGCTTTTTTGAGTTTACATTTAAACTGAGTCTGGGAGCCCAAGTAGCAGTGTCCAATGTGCACAATTTGAAAGAACATTGGAGATGGAGATCAAATTGTCTCTTAGTATATAAATAACTCTTTTCAAGAATTTATATAGTAGGATTTTAGAGTAGAAAAGGATTCAGGATCAAGTCTATTCAGAGCATTGGCTACCACTACAAGAGGGTACGATATCAGCTAGAGTAACCGAGGGCCACTGGAGGCTTACATTGCAGGAGCATGCACAAAATAATCCCCTTGCCTCAGTCACCTCTTTTGGAAGATGTAGTAAAAAGATTTGAATGTAGATGACTAGTTTGTAGGGTAAGGCCATAGACCTCATCTCAGGCAGGACATAGGGGTAAAGAGCAGGAGACAGAATCTCTATTTTTTTTTTAGTTCATAGAAAATTTATTTTCATGTTTCATCAGGCTGCCTGAATTCAAGTTTAGTTTCTGAAACTTATTAGCTATGTACATTTGAAGGGAATAATTATTATCTCAGTTCCCTCACTGTTTATATGGAAATAAGAACAACACTAACCTGATAGGGTTTGGGGGAAGATTAGATTAGATAAAAACCCTCATTTATCACTTAGCATGGCACCTGACACATAGTCATTACAAGATGTCATATAATGCTAATATCAGTATCATTATTATATTTATTTTCATGAGAACTCTGATCAGATTGAAATTTTCAGTACCAAGTGCGCATTAATTTTGCACAGAGAAAAGCCTTATTTTCTCAACTAATTCTAATTCTTTCTAAATCAGACACAACCACACTATGGTATAATCATGGATCAAATTAAAAAGAGCAAAAGTAAATTTGATTAATGTGCTTTTGCTTAATTACATAAGAATAGCATATTTTTCATTACTGGTGTAAAAAGTTAACAGTTAATAGAGCATTAAAATTCTCCAACGTGGTAAGAAACCACTATGCATCAGTGGCTCATCCACTTCCCCAAGTAAAATCCTTAAGAAAAAATGAGGACTATAAATTAATTGCATCATTTAGATTTTTTTTCTATTCTTTGAAATAATTCATAAATATTTCATATTCAATTATACATTTCAAGTGACTTATCCTGATGACTTTCAGTCAGGCATATTTAAATAACTTAATGATTAAATTAGTTTCTACAACCTCAACTACTTTATTTATTTATACTCTGACTCTTTGGGGCAATATTAGGGAAGCTCTAACCAGAAACATGTAAATCAAGAGATTAATAAAATGGCAATTGACATAAAAATAAAAGGCTCAGAAAAGAAAGAAGAAGCATAAACATTTCAAATAATTTAATGCATTTATGAAAAATTATTATATGGGGTATAGTTTCATGGCAGCCAATACAAAACTAAAATAAAGTAATACAAAACAAAATGAGTTACTACCTTTCATTATTAGAGGCCTTAAACACCTTAATTTGTCAAGTTTTATTCTTTTTAAAACCAATCATAAAACAAGTTTCTTTGGCAATATAATTAATTCCTGTGACTGTTTCTTACATCTTTAAACAGAATCATGGCATATGCCCCATCAAAGTGCACGTGAGTCTGTAACACTGAATCCTAGCGTGGTGTGTGAGAATATCTCCTCATCACTGGATCATTTTCATTAGCAATACACATGCCCTACACTTCACCTCTTACAAAAACAATACAAAACAAATATGCAAACATAAACCCCCGACAATAAGAAGTGCTACTGCGGGCCCTCGTCCCTACCTGGGTGCTGTCTCAATCCTCTGCTCAGTCCTGCGTGTTGCCTCCAGGCACTGCTTCCACCTCTGACTTCTTCTTCATGCCAATCTAGCTTCTTCTCAGGCCACTACCCTGACATTGTCCTGAAAGTCATTTGTCCTGCTCTCTGACAAGCTGTATGGATCATCTTCCTCCCTTCTCAACCTCTGGACTGTGTTCAACATGGCTGCTAATTCTGTTGTTACTGAAAGCCTCTCCCCTCTTGGATTCTTTTTTGTCTAGTTTTATTGTTATTATTATTACCTCTCAGCCTTTCTGTCCCTGCCTCCTTTGCTTTGCTTGTTGGTCCCTTCTCCACTTGTCCCCTCAATGCACTTTTCATCGCTTCCTGGGATCGCCTGTTTTCAAATGACTTTTCTATCCTAACAACTCCCACATGGACACAGAAAGTCTAGGTATCTTTGTGGTGCTTCATGATCATATATGCAACCTAAGTATCTCAACAATCAGATTTCCAAACCAAAACAGTCTCAAACCCATTTTATGTACATCAATAATAAATCCAACAAAAACCAGCAGCTCAATCTGGAAACCGATGGGTCAAGCTTTACTACTCCACCTCCCTGCCTGCTCTAGACAGCCCATATCCAACTTCATGAGACTTGCCTCCAAAACACATCTTGAGTCTGTGTTTGTCTGACATTTTCTCATAATTAGACTGGGGTTATGGGTGTGGTGGAAGAATACCACAGAATGAAGTGTGCTTATTTCACATGATGTCCTGGAAGCCTGGTGATATCTGCTATCTTTCTCCACTGCAAAGTTAATACATTTTTTTCTCTATTTCATATTATAAAAATATGTTTCTAAATCCAGTCCACACTTAAAGGGAGAGAAATTGCACTTTGTGTCATAGAAGGAGGAGTATCTACACATTTTATTTGGAATTTTCTATGGGAAGATTAAAACACCCTTTCTTATTCACTTTAGGCTTACATTTTTAAAGTCCCCTCTTTACCTGTTCATTCCCCTGTTTATGTTCTATCTCCCCTAATACTCTTCATGTTCCATGAGAGCAGAGATTGCCTTGTTTGCTTGTCACAGAAACAAAGGCCTTTACCCAGTGCTTGGTTTGTAGGTAGCACTCAGTCAATATTATTTAAAAATGAATCATGAGTGGTTGATAGCAATACTAGAAATACATAAATATATTTACAATATATTTGGTTTCTACAACAAATAGTTTGCCATATATTATTTTATTTAAAAAGTTTCTGTTGCCAGTGATAATAGCACTGAATGCTATTGAGGAATCCTTTTTATTATTGTTTTGCATGCATTTGATTATGTTGGTTAATTGACCAGGGTGACATTCTTCATATCCCTCCTTTAAATGTGCTGAGCCATGTAGAGAGCAGGTCAAGTAGCAGATTTTTGTGCACCCTTGAGACATAGCAGCAAAGTCTTTATTTAATTGCGCTAACTGGATATTCTATAATAGGAATGCATTTCTGATTTCTCCAAAAATAGCTATAAAAGCATTGCTTGTATGAAGAACTTCCAGGTCAACTTTGAGTCTGGGTAACTCTTGTGAAATTGTATTGTGGATATTCTAATGTTTGTCAGGAGAAAGAAGTGATGCCTGGAAATGCCTTTTTAAAAATGGATTTAAAATGTGCAAGTTGGGGAGAGAAGCCCTGTGTAAACACCTAGGTCTTTTATAGAAGCCAAAAAACTATTATATAAAACGGGTGCTGAAATCACTATTGAGTGCTTCCTCCGCTATGACAATCCAGAAGATTACATAGTGAAACTCTTGTGTAGTCTTAATTTCCCCTTGTTACTATTCAGAATAAAATCTACATTTAGTTATACATTAACATTTTTAATACACTGATAATTTAACTATAAAATTCATAATGTTTTCATACAAAAATCTTATAGCTTCTAGAATGTTTCCCCATGTCTGATTTCTGTCGATTTTGAACTATTTACTTTCTCTTTGTAGAAATCTTGACCTCTTAGGACTCTTAACTCATAGGTAAGGAGGAAGGAAGGGAGTGAGACCTCTAGAAATGGGAAGACTGTTCTCTCCTTCTTCCTACTCTTACACTGCCAGTCTCCTTGACCAGGGCATGGAGCTTCCTGAGCTCTTTCCTTACTTCAGGGATGTGCTGAGAATTCCTGCAGAGAATAATGCAGGTGTTCTGATGGAGCTGCATTTATTACCACAGCTTTCTAGCTCTTAATGGGCTCAGCAAGGTTCAGGTCATTTAAAGCTATTTCATGTGCCATTGCTCCCACGCTTGATGTCATCTTCATTTTGTTGTGACAGTGCAATAGTGACCAGAGGCCTTGTTAGAATCTAAGAATGGTTCTCATAAGGAAAATCAAAAGGTTTAATAATAAAAAACCCTCCTGTGTCACAGGAGAGTATATTCTGCCCAATCCTACTGCCTTTGTTGTAAACTTTCTGGCATAATTAACTCTAGGTAAATTACCATGATGGTAAATGGAGAAAATCCAGTGTGACACACCTGGATTTCTTCTGACACACTGGGAATTAAGGGCTGGCTCTATACTTACTAGGCATTTGTCCTCAGGCTGCGTCAAAAACCACACAACCTAAGCAATGAGGCATGTTCAATCTCCAGCAGAGCTGGGGAAGAAAAAAAAATTCATTCAGCCAATCAGACAATTCAATTTATTGAATTCCAAGCCTGTAACCATTAGTGTTCAAACAGGCTGAGGCAGAGCAGTGAACACAATAAACTGCAGTACCCACCCTTGAGCTGTTTCCATTCTGTGGAGGAAATAGTCCATGAAAACAAAAAACGGGAATAGTGCTGAGTACTAAGATGTGAAATAAAGCAGGGAATGGAGGCAGAAATGTGGCACGTGGAGGTGGGGCATTGCCGCTTTAGAGAAGATAGTCAGGAGCTTTTCGACGGTAAGGTGACGTTAAGAAAGACCTGAGAAAGTGGGCTATGCAGAGATGGGAGCCAGGGAGGGGGTGTCTGGGCAGCAGGAAGAGCATGTAGGAAGGGCTGGTATGAGAGTGAAACTGATCTGCTCCAGGGTGCCGAGAGGCCTGCGTGGCTAAAGTGAAATTGGCCGATGGGTCTGCAGCAGAAGTTGAGGTTGATGACTTCACGTGGGAACCAGACATGAGGGGTCACATGGGCATTTAAATATGTGCATTTTGGTGTTTATTCTCCATAAAATAGGATGTAACTGAAGAATTTTAAAAGAGGTTGACTTGATTTGATACGTTTCAATGTAGTCACTCTGGCTGCTTGTTGATAGTAAAATCCAAGAGGCAAGGGAGCGGCAGGGAAACCAGATAAGAAACTAGTATCCAAAGCACAGGTGGTAACAGGGGAGGCACCTAGCAGGGGTGAGAATCTAAACATCTCTGGAAGTTACAGTCAGTGGGGTCTGCTACTTTACATGTGCTAAGGTGTGCATAAGAAGGAATAGATTCAAGGATGGCTGAGTTTGAGGGCCCAGCCCACTTCAAGAATGGATTTCTATTTTCTCTGCAGAGGGGGATGCATGAGGGAAAGATATTGCAGACACCAGGGGGTGAGCAGCACCAGCAGCTCAGCTTTGGATGTGCTAAGTTTGCGATGCTGTTGCCCATCCAACTGGTAATGGGGAGGCTGACAAAATTTGTTTAGAATCAGAGGTAGAATAAGGCATCTGTGATAGGGTCAGCGAGAAGAAGACATCACAATATTTAAGAGAAGGTTGCAAGATTTGGCTTAATTCAGACTATTGTTCATTCCATTTTGTAATTAGTTTTAATCTTGTATGTCCTTTCCCTGTTCTTTGATATATTAAATATGTTTCTTTTATAAAAACATTTCTTTTTGTTATTCTAGAAATCTATGACTTTTATTAGTTTCCATATATAACTTATTTTCTAATGAAAACATTTAAAACTATATATTTCCCTTAAAGAACTTCTTTGATATTCTGCATTTTTATTATCTTTCAGTTGAAAAAATTGTGTGTGTGTGTGTCTGTGTGTCTCACTCTGTTGCCCAGGTTGGAGTACAGTGGGATGATCATAGCTTACTGCAGCCTCAAACTCCTGAGCACAAGTGATCCTCCCACCTCAGACTCTCAGGTAGCTGGGACTACCAACGTGTGTCACCACACCTAGCTAATTTTTACTTTTTTTTTTTTTTTTTTTTTTTTTTAGAGATGGGGTCTCGCCATGCTGCCCAGGCAGGTCTTGAACTCCTCACGTCAAGTGATCCTCTGCCTCAGTCTCCCAAGCACTGGGATTACAGGATTTAGCCACTGCACCTTTCCAAACATATTTTTTATTTCCCTTGCAATTTTTTTTGACTTATAGGTGATTTAATAATCTCTTTCATGAAGACTTCTGTCTCTGCTCAGGACATAGAAAGCTAGAAGTAAAGTTCTCTCACCCCAATAATGGGGAAAATCTGTATAAGAAACAAAATCATACTGTGTGAGCCCATTTGAGAACAGAGATGCTGAGATTGCATGGCATCCTGGAAAACTGACTACTAAAGAAATACTAGACTCCCCAAGAAGTGGTTAAAAGGTGTGCATTACCTTCAGGGATAGAATAATAAAATGACAGCTTATTTATTAACAACAAAAAATACAGAAGCAAGAAAATAGTGGAATGACATGTTTCATATTCTGAAAGAAAAATAACTGCCAATCTAGAATTCTAGAGCCAGGAAAACATTCTTCCAAATTGAATATGTAATAAAAATAATAGTAGACAAAGAAAAAGAGAATTTATTGCCAGCGAGCCCATCTTTTTTTTTTTTTTTTTTTTTTTTTTGAGTCTGTCTCCCAGGCTGGAGCGTAGTGGCACAATGTCAGCTCATTGCAACCTCCACTTCCCAGGATGAAGCGATTCTCCTGCCTCAGCCTCCCGAGTCACCACACCCAGCTAATTTTTGAATTTTTAGTAGAGACGAGGTTTCACCATATTGATCAAGCTGATCTCAAACTCCTGACCTCAGGTGATCCGCCAGCCTCGGCCTCCCAAAGTGTTGGGATTACAGGTGAGCCACTGCACCCGACAACAAGCCCATCTTAAGAAGAATACAGGAGAGAGTTCTGTAAGAAGTAAAATGGCAATAGAGAGTTGATGTACAGTTATACCTGAAAGAAAAGAAAGCACCAAAATTTGCAAAAAAAGTAGGCACATTGTGAAGGTTTCATTGTATGTAGCATTAGAAATGCAGGCAACAATATTGCAAAAAATGGGAAAGGAGTAACCTACTGGTTTCAAATCTTTTAAGAGTCGAGCTTTATTGGAAAAGTGAAAAAAGCAAAAATTTATTACAGTATAATATGCCAATGATGCAATTTGTGGTCTTCAGGCAACAATAAAATAACAGAGAAATAATATACAAATAAGTTAATAGATTAAAAAAAATATTTTATCATTTCAAAATAAGCAAAAACAGTTAAAAAAGTATCATAACATAATTCATTCAAACAGAAAACACAAAGTAACATGATGAATGCAAGGCCAATGATAGCAGATCTTATATTAAGTGTGAGTAGAATAAATATTCCAATTAAAAGATTAATAATGTCAAACTGCATTAAAAAACCAACGATATGCTGCCTATTACAGAAATAGCTTTTAGACATGGAGATTTTGAAAATAAAACATTGAGGAAAATATATTACAAAAGTACTAACCAAAAGAAAGCTGTGGTAGCCATATCCGTATTATATTACTAGCTATAGTAATAGTATTGACTTCATGGAGATGTTGTAAGGATTAATTTGATTTTGCCAGATTTTGCCAGATACTATCTGGCAATCAGTAAAGTCTCAGTGAGTCTTATTTATTGTTAGTAAACACACTATCATCCTTCCCATTGCCTAGAATAAATATACATTTAATTATGTCATTTAAAAACCTACAGGCAGCAACTTATTGTATTTAAAATGTAATATTTACATAGTAGAAATAAGAAGAAGTGAGAAGAAAACATGTAATATGGCTAAATATGTCAACTCCTCCAAAATGCAGGAAAATGCATTATGATAACAGATTTTAAATCAAAACATCAACAAAAACTGTGACTTAGTTAAGCTCCTCTAGTCCAAGACAAAGACTCTCAAGTATGATTTTAAGAAATACAGTTAAGTTGGATGGCCAAAGACCCTGCATAAATAAGAAGCATTTTCTGATGATTACCCTGGGAGCTTTCTCTGCATTTCCAGACAGTGAGCTGATTGGGCCTGAGAGCTTCCTTAAGGCCTTCCAAGGCCAGGTGACCAGCTTTCCCGGCATTCCTCTAAACTGTTTGCCCATGAGTTTACATTGTCTGGTGTCAAGGCAGGCTTAGAAAGCCCCTCCTTATGTACTCTGCAAGAAGCACGTTCCCACCAAAGAAGGCCAGCCCAGGCTACACTCTCAAAGGGCAAGCCTTTCTACAGGGCACCTGTATTGAATTCTAACCCGTAACAAAAGACTTTTGCTGGCTTTCACTGAAAAACCTTTTCATTACACATACCATATACAAATCATACACATAAGATGAAAATAAAATAAACAGTAAAAATCCTAAATAAAGACAAAAGCAGCTGGGTGTGGGGGCTCACATGTATAACCCAGCGCTCTGGGAGGCAGAGGCTAGAGGATCACTTGAGCTCAGGACTTTGAGACCAGCCAGTGCAACATGATGAAAGCCTGTATCTACAAAAAATACAAACCTAACAGGGAATGGTGGAACGCATTTGTAGTCCTAACTACTCGGGAGGCTGAGGTGGCAGGATCACCTGAACCTGGGAGGTCGAGGCTGCAGTGAGCCATGATAACACCACTGCACTCCAGCCTAGGTGACAGAGAGAGACCCAAGATCAATTTTTTGTTTTTGAAAGCAAACAGAAAACAAAAATAATGAAAGAACTGGTGGTTGGTAATATTAATATCAAACAGAATAAATTTCAATGCAAAAAGCATTCATCAGAAAAAAATGTTAATTTGATATTAATAAAATATGCACTCAAGATCAAAACCAAAACAATTAAACTTTAACACATTGAGATTATTTTTCTTTTGTTCTAGCTTTATTGAGGTATAATTGGCAAATAAATTTTATATATTCAAAATGTACAACATAATGTTTAGGCATACATTATTGTCATCCCCTTGTATCCATAGTTGATTGGTTCCAGGATACCCCAGTGATATCAAAATCTACAGATGCTCACTTCCCTTGTATAAAATGAGGTGGTATTTGCATATAACCTATGCACATCTGTATGACTCCATTTTCACACTGCTGATAAAGACATATCCAAGACTGGGGAGAAAAAGAAGTTTAATGGATTTACAGTTCTGCACGGCTGGGGAGGCCTCACAATCACGGCAAAAGACAAGGAGGAGCAAGTCACAGCTTACATGGATGGTGGCAGGCAAAGAGAAAGAGCTTGTGCAAGGAAACTCCCATTTTTAAAACTATCAGATCTCATGAAACTTTTTCACTATCACAACAGCACAGGAAAGACCCACCCCCATGATTCAATTACCTCCCACTGGGTTCCTCCCACAACATGTTGGAATTGTGGGAGTTACAATTCAAGATGAGATTTGAGTGGGGACACAGCCAAACCATATCATTCTGCTCCTGGCCTTCCCAAATCTCATGTTCTCACATTTCAAAACCAATCATGCCTTCCCAATAGTCCCCCAAAGTCTTAATTCATTTCAGCATTAACTCAAGAGTTCACAGTCCAAAGTCTCATCTGAGACAAGGCAAGTCCCTTCTACCTAAGAGCCAATAAAATTAAAAGCAAGTTAGTTACTTCCTAGATAAAATGGGAGTACAGGCATTGGATAAATATACTCATTCCAAATGGGAGAAATTGACTAAAATGAAGTGGCTAAAGGTCCCATGCAAGTCCAAAATCCAGCAGGGCACTTAAATCTTGGAGCTCCAGAATGATCTCCTGTGACTCATTGTCTCACATCCAGGTCATGCTGATGCAAAAGGTGGGTTCCCATGGTCTTGGGCAGCTCCGCCCCTGTGACTTTGCAGAGTATAGCCCTCCTCCTGGCTGCTTTCAGAGGCTGACATTGAGTGTCTGTGGCTTTTCCAGGTGCATGGTGCAAGCTGTCAGTGGATCTACCATTCTTGGGTCTGGAGGACGGTGGCCCTCTTCTCACAGCTCCACTAGGCAGTGCCCGAGTAGAGACTCTGTATGGGGGCCCTGACCCCAAATTTCCCTTCTGCACTGCCCTAGCAGAGGTTCTACATGTGGCCCCACTCTTGCAGCAAACTTCTGCCTAGGCATCCAGGCATTTTCATGTATCCTCTGAAATCTAGGCAGAGGTTCCCAAACCTCAATTCTTGACTTTTGTGCAGCCACAGGCTCAACACCACATGAAAGCTGCCAAGGCTTGGGGCTTGCACCCTCTGAAGTATCAACTTGAGCTGTACCTTGGCCCCATTTAGCCATGGCTGGAGTGGCCGTGACACAGGGCACCAAGTCCCTATGCTGCATAGAGCAAGGGGGCCCTGGGCCTGGCCCATGAAACCATTTTTTCCTTCTACGACTCTGTGCCTGTGGTGGGAGGGGCTACCTTGAAGACCTCTGACGTGCCTTGAAGATATTTTCCCCATTGTCTTGGGGATTAACATTCAGCTCCTTGTTACTTATGCAAATTTCTGCAGCCAGCTTGAATTTCTCCAGAAAAAAATGGATTTTCTTTTCTATCGCATTGTCAGGCTGCAAATTTTTTCAACTTTTACGGTCTACTTCCCTTGTAAAACTTAACGCTGTTAACAGCACCAAAGTCACCTCTTGAACACTTTGCTGCTTAGAAATTTCTTCTGCCAGATACCCTAAATCATCTCTCTCAAGTTCAAAGCACCACAAATCTTTATGGTAGGGGTAAAATGCTGCCAGTCTGTTTGCTAAAACATAACGAGAGTCACTTTGCTCCAGTTTCCAATGATTTCCTCATCTCTATCTGAGACCACCTCAGCCTGAATTCTATTGTCCATATCATTATTGGCATTTTGGTCAAAGCCATTCAACAAGTCTCTAGGAAGTTCCAAACTTCCTCACATTTACCTGTCTTCTGAGGCCTTCACATTATTCCAGCCTCTGCCTGTTACCCAGTTCCAAAGTCGCTTCCACATTTTCAGGTGTCTTTTCAGCATCATCCCACTCTACTGGTACCAATTTACTGTATTAGTCCACTTTCACTCTGCTGATAAAGACATAGCTGAGGCTGGGAAGAAAAATAGGTTTAATGGACTTACAATTCCATATGTCTGGGAGGCCTCACAATCATGGCAAAAGGCAAGGAGGGACAACTCACGTTTTACATGGATGGCAACAGGCAAAGAGAGAGTTTGTGCAGGGAAACTCTCATTTTTAAAACCACCAGATTGCATGAGACTTATTCACCATCATGAGAACAGCACTGGAAATACCTGTCCCCATGATTCAATTACCTTCCACTGGGTTCCTCCCACGACAGACACTTGGGAATTGTGGGAGTTACAATTCAAGATGAGATTTGGGTGGAAACACAGCCAAACCATATCAGTGTCCTTTGGTATACTTTAAAACATCTCTAGATTACATAAAATACCTAAAACAATGTAAATGCTATGTAAATAGTTGTTATACTACGTATTGTTTGGGGAATAATGACAAGAAAAAACATCTGTACATGTTCAGTACAGACACCACTGTTTTCATTATTTTTGATTTGCAGTTAGTGGAATCCATGGATGCAGAATCCATGGATTCAGAGGGCCAACTATTCATTGTGAAATGATTCCCACAACTAAGCTAATTAGCATATCTATGTACTTAAGATCTACTGTTCATGAATTTAATGTATATAATACATTACTATTAACTATAGTCACCATGCTATGCATTAGGTCCCAGAACTTATTTAGCATATTTTATGCTCTGTGGCCAACATCTTCCCATTTCTCTCACTTCTCAACCCTTGGTAACCACCCTGCTACTGTTTCTAGGAGTTCAATGTTTTTACATTCTACATACAAATGAGATTATACAATATTTGTTTCTCCATGTCTGTCTCATTTCATTTAGCATAATGTCTTCTGTGTTCATATGTGTTGTCACAAATGTCAGTATTCCTTTCTTTCATGAGGCTAGATAGTATTCCACTGTGTTTCTACTCAACAATTTCTTTAATCATTCACTCATTGATAAACACTAAGATTATTTCCATATTTTAGCTATTATGACTAATACTGTAATGAACATGAGAGTGCAGATATCGCTACAATCCTGTTTCTAATTTCTTTAAATATATATATACCATGATACAAGATTGTTAGATCATAAAGTAGTTCTATTATTTTAATTTTTTAAAATATTTTGAGGAACCTCCATACTTTTTTCCATAATGGCTATACTAATTTTCATTCCCACCAGCAACGTGTAAGACTTCCTGTTTCTCCATATTCTTTACAACACTAGTTATCACTTAACTTTTTGATAATAGCCATCCTAAAAAATTTGAGTTAGTATACCATTGTGAGTTTGATTTGCATTTCCCCAGGGATTGTGATATTGAGTTCTTTTTAT
This sequence comes from Homo sapiens, assembly GCF_000001405.40. Classification (NCBI taxonomy): domain Eukaryota; kingdom Metazoa; phylum Chordata; class Mammalia; order Primates; family Hominidae; genus Homo; species Homo sapiens. Next base: position 49,214,889 of record NC_000007.14, read on the forward strand.
ATACCTGCTGGCCATTTGTATGTTTCCTAGGAAAAATGTATATTAAGGTCCTTTGCCTATTTTTTTAAATATCAGGTTACTTTTATTTGCAATTGAATTATATTAGTACCTTAAATATTTTTCATATTTATTCATTATTATAGATATGGTTTGCAAATATTTTCTTCTGGCAAATGGGTTGCCTTTGAATTTTGTCATTTGTTTCTCTTGCTGTGTAGAAGCTTTTTAGTTTAATGTAGCCCCACTTGTCTATTTTAGCTTTTATTGCCTGTGCATTTGGTGTCATTTCCAAAAATTATTGCCAAGACCAATGCCATGGAGAATTTCCCCTATATTCCTTCTAGGAGTGTTAGCTTTTCAGATCTTATGTTTAAATATCTAACCCATTTTGAATTGAGTTTTGTGTATAGTGTCATGTATGGATCCTATTTCTTTTCTGGTATGTAGATATTGTTTTCCTAACAGCATTTATTGAAGATATAATCCTTTTGCCATCATTTATTCCTGGCACCTTTGTAACAGGTTAATTGACCATATCTGTATGGGTTTATTTCTTAGGTTTCTGGTCCTTTCCATTGGCTAGTATGCCTGTTTCATGCATGCCAGTACCACACTGTTTTGATTAATATAGCCTTATAATATAAATCAAATTCAGGAAGTTTAATGCTTTCAACTTTGTTCTTGTCCGAGGTTGCTTTAGATATCTGGGGTCTTTTGTGGCTCTATACGAATTTTAGGACTTTTTTTTTCTATTTCTTTGATAAATGCCATTAGAGAGTGATGTCAGCAAGATGGCAGACTAGAGACACCTTGAGTTTGTCCTGCTCACTAGCAAGGATAAAGGCAACAAACGAACAGCTCAGATTTAACTGGAGTGCCGAAGGGAGAGCACGGGAGTGCAGCAGGGGAGTGGAGAGCCGCCTGTGGTGATTGGAAATTCAGGGGGGCAGCATGGGGGCACCTGGCCTCTGCAGGCTTGTCTCTCTTCCCTGGATTGGATTTGCCTGGAATCAGGAGTGACTTCCCCTTGTGAGGAAAAGGTAACAGATGATCAACATCAGCCACAATTGCCACAGCAGACACCTACTGTCCTTACTCGAGGAGAATACCACAGTCCTCACAAGCCCTGAGCTCAGTTTGGAAAACTGCTGAAAATTCATGCAGCTGCATTCCCCCAGGGTGAGGAGTACAAGGTGTGCATTCCCCTTCCCTCACCCAGCCCCCTTGAGCCAAGCTGCTTCAGCTCAATGCCATCTGGAGACAAGAGCCAAAACAAGAGCCAACTTTGGAGTGTACTTCCGTCTGGGGTTCAGTAGCCACTGCACCAGTACTGGGGCTCCTTCTTCATTATGCCAAACAACAGGAGTGGCTGAACCCCACAACCCCAGTGGCACAGAGCTTGGGCCCAGGATCAGCTGTGACTGCGGACCTGCACAGCAAGGAAACCAACTCCCACTACTGCACTTCCAGATTGCACAGAGCACCCCTGGCTCCAGGACTTGGAGTGGGGATAGACTGCAGTAGAAGTGGTTTTGATGTCTAAGGTATGGGCACACATGGTGTGATGTGCAGCTTAGGTCTGAAGCTTGGACATGCATGGAGCAGCTGCCACTCCAGGGTCTGGGGCATGCATAGGTTTAAGAAGGTGCTGGCTTGGGTTCTGGGCAGCACAAAAGTTGCCCTTTTTTGGGAAAGGAATACACAGCATCTCCCTCTCTGAGGGTTTTACGGTAGCAATAACTATTGGTTACCTCAGTGGTGAAAGCTATCAATATCCTCTGTAGAAGAGGCCACTGGGGACCATGGTGGCATCTGCCACATGGCTGATCCTGAGAGCCCCTGCCCTTTGTTTTCTTCATAGCCATCGCCAGACATCCCAGGTATGCCATTCTCTCCAAAGATCTTTTCTGTGTGGCTTTTGTTTGTGTTTTGCTGCAGGTTCTTAATTAAAATCTTTAGCCCTCTCAAGGCTGTTTATTTTCGTGTTAGCTATCTAATTTGTTCTTTGTGGGGCATGAAGGCTGTGTCTCCTACTGTGCCATCTTACTGATGTTACTTCTCCACCTAGAGATATTTAAATGTCAAAATACATGAAAGGAAACACGTTACAAAAATAAGCTGCATTTTTAAAAAGCTCAATTATTCCTTGAAATTTTTGCAGACCTTTCTCAATCATATAATACCAACAAGAAAGTTGTTTTGGAAAGGAAAGTGCTGGGCTGGGCAGCCATGCACAGCTTGACAACCACTGCACAGTTGCACGAGTGTGGCCTGGGGCCTGGAACAATTTCTTGCATAAAAATAAGGCACCCTCACAGCCTGTGCTGAGCTAATCTCTTTATTTTGGAATATTTTTCTTTGGTTTGGGCTTGATGTGTACTTTTCTGTTCTGCTTAAGCATCTTTGTTCTATGGCTCCTGGCCCAGCCCTCTCATCTTCCATTTTTGGCAAGAAGCAAACAGGTCGTTTGCCTACAGCGCAAGATACATACCTACAGATCATCTTCCTGCATCCATCATCAGGTGATACCCACTGGCCTTAAGGGACCAACACTCACTGTTAATTCTGATGCTACTCTGTCTTTCTCTATGTGAGTAAAGCATTGCTTTGTCTATATAAGTGGTATCTTTCTTGGTGATGATTACACCTGCCAGCTATTCAGTGGGTTGACATTCTGGGACTGCTGCTCCTTGGTGGGAAACAGATACCACTTGCTTGACTGAAAGCTTCCCAAAGCAATGACAGTTCAAGATATCCTGATTGCAAACCTTGGATAACACAATAAAGAATAACTAAAGTCTAATTTTTTAGTTACATATGAAACAGGAAATGTATGAACACATGCCAACAAATCAAATCCAGAGAACACATCAACATAAAGCAAAGTTTAGTGAAGCAAAGCAAATTTTATACAATATCAGGTGACCTATTAATAGTATGCATTATATTTAAAGTACAATGAACGATAAAAAACTTATAAACCCTAAAGAGGAAAAATTAACCAATGGGAAAACACACTATTTGATTTAGACACTATATAGCTACAACAATCAAGACAGAATTATCCTAGTAGAGGAGTAGACAAATAGTATAATAGTACTGAAGAGAGAATGCAGAAATAGACCTACACAAGAATGGCCAACAGATTTTTGACAGAGGTACAAAAGCAATTCAATAAAGAAAGCTCTTCCTTGTAGCGAATTTTGTTGGAACATTTGGACATTCACAGAAAAACAAAACAAAGCAAACCTCAAACTATACTTACACCTTTATACCTTACATAGAATTAATTTAAAATGGATTACAAATGTAAATATAAAAATGTATATAACTTTTAGAAGAAAATATTGAACAAACTCTTTGTGACTTAGGCTTAGATGAAGAGTTCTTAAACATAACACTATAGGCATAATCTACAAAAGAACAAAAGATAAATTATATTTCATCATAATTAGAAACCTTTACTCTGCAAAAGTTTCTGTTAAGAAGATGAAAAGACAAATTACAGACTTGTAAAATGTTGATAAATCACATATTCTTCAAAGGACTTGTATTCAAATATGTAAATTGCTCTCTAGACTCAGTGGTAAGAAAACAAACCTCTAATAAGAGAACCAGAAAAATACTTTTAATATACACTTTACCCAAGAAGATATAAAAATAAAATATCTAACAAATGGAAAGATGTTCAACATCATCAACCATCAGGAAGTTATAAATTACAATCATGATTAAGATACCACTACACAACTGTGAAAATAACTAAAATAGAATATCCTGGGAATACCAAATGCTGATGAGGATGTGGAGAAACTGATTCTTTTATGCACTGCTAGTAAGAATGTAAAATAATATTGCCACTCTGGAAGACAATTTGACATATAAAAAATAAATTTAATCATACATTTACCATATCATATAGCAATCAACCACACTGCTGGTAATTTATTCTAGAGAAATTAAAACTTACATTCACATAAATTCCATATGTAAATGTTCATAGCAGATTTATTTGAAATAGCCAAAAAGTGGAATCAACTTAAATGTCCTTCAATCGGTGAATGGATTAAAATAACATGGTAGATCTAAACAAGGTGATATTACTCAGGAACATAACAGAATGAACTATTAATCCAAGTCATAATGCAGATAGATCTCAGGGTTATTATGTTGAGTAAAACTACTAATGTCAAAGAGTTGCGTATTATATGATTTCATTCATATAACTTTCTCAAAGTGAAAAATTGACAGTGATGGAGAAAAAATCAGTGGGTTCTGATGTTAAGGGTGGGGAAAGAATGCCTTGATTAAAGGTTGACATTGGGGAGTTTGTAATTATGGAATAGTGCTGGGTCCTGATTGTGGCAATGGTTACTTGAATCCACACACATGATAAAATTTCATAGAACTACATACATACATAATAATTGTGCATAAAAGGTAGTAAATGTTGACCTGTATTAGTTTCTTCATGTAGCTTTATCCTACCTCCTATAATAAAGCTAGGAGATTAGGCAGAAGTACTAGGTCAGAACATTGAGAGATAAAAAAAACAAGGACTTGCCAAATCCTATCACCTAAAGCATAGTAAAGCATTGCAAGAATGCTTACTTACTGCATATAAGTAATACTTCCTACTGATGAGATAGAACCACATAGTCTTTTCAAGCACCTTCTATTTACATTCTCTACCAGACTTTATAAAGGGTGAGCCTGCTAGCAAAAATCAGATTAAATAGGGTGCTTTTGTACTTGAGACTGTAATTTCTTATGTTTGTAAGCAGTGGTCATTAACTTAAAGACTGAGGTAATTAACAGAGAATCAAGGGCAGTGGATAAAATGAGCTAGTTTTAGGCTTTTGCAATATGTTTATACAATATTTTGGTTGTGCCTACAAGGAAATAGAGTTGACTAGAAGCAAACAGACCAGAATTTTACTGTGTCTGACTGGGAGTATTCTGTGATTACTCAACCTCTAAGTTTATCCTTTAGTTGCAGGGCTCACACCATCAGGAAGTGGGCTGCAACAGCTATGTAAGGCCCAGGAAGACCATGCCCTCCAAGGTTTCAGATGTGGCCATGAAAGACAAAGGACAGAGAAACCTTGCACTATTGCTACCTTTGCCTGTCATTGGGCACAGTCTGAAGATGTAATGCCTTAAGTAGCTGAGGTAACAAACATGAAAAATATCCAGTCTCCCTGAGGCTAGGGAGGAAGAAGGGCGCTAGACATCAGTTCACACTGATAACATGGAGTTACTAAGGATCCCTGCAATGCCTACCTCAAGCATCACTGGTGACAGAGTGTGCAAACATCGTTCACATTTAATCCATCATTAGGCAGTTTACCGACAAAAAAATATAAAATAAAACCCAAAACAAAGACAAAGACAAAACTCTTAACTGCCACATCTCATGCTCTACATTGTTTTAGCTTGTATGTTCCTTGGTCATTTTACAGTCATTTTAATAGGGACTTAGTTAAAAGGAGGTCGACAAGTGTACACTGTATGCTGTATGAAATAAGAAGCCTAAGAATCAAGCATATAATGAATGTGTTTTTTTTTTTAACCATTGGAGAAAGGATGAGCTAAGGAATACTCTTTGAGATGGGGTTTGCCATTTGAGAAAATGGGGCTCTATAATATTTCACTCAAATGTTATGATTAAATTTTATTCCTGAACTGGCAAACACAGTAATTTGTGAATAAATCAGATAATTTGAGCTTAAGAAAATTTGCCTCTTATTCTAATGATAATTTAGCAAGTCAGTCATTGTAACAGAAACTCACTTGGCTTGAACCTTAGTTTCATTTTCTTAAATTTGTGAGAATGATATTTATATTATAGGGCTTGTGTGACGATTTGAACACATAGGCACATGTGCATACCCCCTAAATTCCAGTCCTCTCAGTAGTAGCTTGCTGTAGTTTAGACCTGTGAAATGAAATTTGTGTGTCTCAAACAAAACATGCCAGAGTATACAGAGAACCTTCTGCCATGTATCTCTCTTCCTGCAGTGCTTGCTGTCATGAACCTCAGCTGCCTAATCTAGCATCCTCTTCACCAGAACTGCCCCAGTCAACACTGCTCTGGGTGCTCCATCTCCAGCACCCAGCATGTGCCCACAGTTGGCCCCTGAAGCTTGTGCTTATTACACCAGCTTACACTTATCCAGGCACATTCACTGCTAGACTCAGACACCACTCAGAACCCCAGCAACCTTTGCAACTACTGCAAGTCCCCTAAATCTTTTACCACCAAAGACCAAACAGTTGATAATGACATGGACCCCAGCTGCTTAAGCCATCAAGCCACCTTTCCCTCTCCCAGACCCAAATCTGACACATGCCCCTGTGTATGGTACGCCACTCCACTAGACCCAGTGTTGCACCACACTCCAGCATACCCTTTCTGTCGGTATATCCATGCTGTCCACATGCCTCAAAGTTGAAGGTCTTTCCTAACTGGAGTCAGTCCCTAAAGTTTGCAAGAGGTGATTACTTCTTCAAATGTGAAGACACCTGTGCAAAGCTATACAGAATCATAAAAAGACACAGAAACATAATGCCCTCTAAAGAACACAATAAACTTCCTCCAAATGATTGCAAATAAATAGATATCTATCAGCCATGTGACACATAACTAAAAACAGTTTTTCTAATAAAGCTTAATAAGGTATAATAGGACAGAATTAAACCATTGAATACAATACAAGAACAAAATTTGGAGTTCAACAACAAGATAGCAAACACACACACACACACACACACACACACACACACAGAAATTCTGAAGAATTCAATGACTGAATTTTAAAAACACAACAGAGAACTTTAATAGCAAACTTGATGGTGTAGAAGAAAGAATCAGCAAACTCAAAGACAGGTCATTTGAAATTAATCCAATCTGAAAGAAAAAAAAAGAATGAATAAGAGTTAAGAGAGCCTCCAGAAATTATGGGACACAATCAAGAAAATATACATATACACATTATGGAGTATCAGAAGGAGATGAAAGAAAGATGCAGAAAACTTATTTGAAGAAATACCCCAAAACTTTGCAAATCTAGGAATGAAAATAGCCTGACTCAAGAAGCCCATAGAATTCGAAACAGATTGAACATAAAGATGTTTACATCAAATCACATTAAAATTACATTATTGAAAATCAAAAACAAAGAGAGAATTTTGAAAGAACTAGAGAAAAGTTATTTGGCACATACAAGGAAACCTCCATAAAACTATCAGTGGGTTTCTCAACAGAAATCTTATAGACCAAGAAAGTGTGAGATTACATGTTAAAGTACTGAAAAAAATTTCAACCAAGAATCTATAACCTGCAATGCCATCCTTTCATAATGAAGAAAAAATAGAATATTTTCCAGACAAACAAAAATTGATGGAATTTTCACCACTAGATGTGCCTTATAAGAAATGTTTCAGGGAGTTTTTCATATGAAATCAAAAATATGCTGAAGAGCAAGGTAAAAGCATATGAAAGTACAAATCTCACAAGTAAAGGCAAATATACAGTCAAATGGAGAATGACATAACACTATTATGGTGGTATGCAAATTACCCATAACTCTAATATAAATTTAAAACACAAAAGTATTAAGAATAACTACTGGAACAAAATTTTGGTAATGGGTTGATATTATAAACAAGAAGTAAATTCTGACTTTAGAAACACAAAGTGTGGGGAGTGGTAAAGTGAAGATTATTGTATACAACTGAATTTAAGTTATTATCAAATTAAAATAGATGATTATAACTCCAATAATATTTGCACAAGACTCTTAGTAACCACAAAGGAAAAACCTATAGTAGATACACAGAAGATAAAGGGAAAGGAATCAAACCAAAACACCAAACAATCCACCAAATAATAAAGAAGATAGTGAGATAGGAAGAAAAAAAATGCAAAAGAGGTAGAAAACAATTAACAAAATGACAATAGTAAGTTGTTGCCTAACAATAACACTTTAAATGTAAATAGATAAAACTGCACAATCAAAAGTCATTAGAATTGATAAATGAATAAACAAGATTCAGTGATATGCTTCATGCAAGAGACTAACTTCAGACATAAGTTCACAACATACTGAAAGTAAAGGAATAGTAAAAGATATTTTATGCAAATGGTAACCAAAATAAAGAAGGGGTGGTTATATCTGTAGCATACAAAATAGACTTTAAGTCACAAGCTGTCACTGGAGACAAAGAAAATCATTGTGTAATATCAGTTCGACAGTAAGATATAACAATTTTATATATATACATATCCATCATCAGGGTAACTAAATATATAAAATAAATGCTGGCAAGTCTGTTGGGAGAAATTGGCAACACACAAGAATAGCAAGAGACTTTTACTTCACTTTCAAAAATTGATAGAACATCCAGATATGGAAACAACCTCCAAGATTTTCAATGGATAAGTGGATAAAGAAATTTACACACACACACACACACACACACACACACACGGAGAGAGAGAAACAAAGAAACAGAGAGATTGAAATCTTATTCAACCTAAAAGAAAAAGGATATTCTGCCACCTGAGACAACATGGATAGAGCTGGAAGAGATTATGTTAAGTGAAATAAGCGAGGCATAGAAAATACTTCTTGACCTCCCTTTTTTGTAGAATCTATAATAATTGAACTCACAGAAGCAGATTTTCTATGGTTGCCAGGGGCTGAGGGAAGGGAGAAATAGAATGATATTTGTCAAAAGGTACACAATTCTAATTAAGCAAGGTGAATAATTTCTGGAGATCTAACCTAGAGCATAGTGATGATACTTATCAATATCTTATTGTATACTTGAACTTTTCCAAGATGACAGATCTTAGATTTGATTTATCACACAAATAGTAACTATAAAGAGGTGATAGATATATTAATTATCTAAAATATGTTCATCATTTCACAATGTATATTCATACATATACATCAAAACATCATGTTGTATGCCTTAAACATATATTTTTATGTTAATGCACATTAATGATATAATAAAGCTATGCTTTATTGCTATGTCACTAACATAAACATTACTGTATTGTAAAATAAGTCTCACTGATTCCTAGTAAAAGGTTGAAGATTGTAAAATATGTCTCATTGATTCCTAATAAAAGACTGAAGATTGTAAAATACATAATGGATCCTTTTGCTGGATTGCATGTTGTCAACACAACATCACCATGATGTCCTCCGAAGGTTGACTCTGTATTGCAAAAAAGGAAGGCAGGAACTGCATTACTAGTGTGATTTGGGGTTTCAGCTGACCACTGTGAGGAACTGCATATGATTTGGGAAGCTGAAAGAAAAGAGAGGTAATTTTTGTCTAACACAGCTATTCATGGTTTCCAAAACTCTCCTGAGAACCACCCATTTTGCTGCTGTACACTGACATGTTTAGTGGGAGCTATCCACAAATTCTTAAATGTTCAATTGGCTCCTTGAGAATTGCTCATATTTGCGATCCTAGCTGAGACCGTCCTTAGCAGAGTGCCTGACCTTCACTCCTCCAACTCTTCCAACATGGTGTACACTCCAGTTTCTCTATATTAAAACTATCAGCATTTGATATACCTGAACTTTTAAGTGCAAGAGCAGCTTCCATCTTCCTGACTGAATTTTGACAAAACGACCATAACCACCATTCACAGTGTTACTGTGTATATTAGCATGAAAAATCTCTTTAACTTCTGGTTCCCCTCAGATCTTAGAGGCCTGTTGATGGCATTAAAATTCTTCACCCCCTTTAATTTTCTATCCACTAAAATCAAGCCATTCTTGAGAAGTTCTTCAGTGTTCCTCTTTGACTTGTTCTCCTGTTTCCCTTTCTGCACTCATCATTTCTCTTGAGCTTCCACAACATACTCTCTCCTCACAGCTAAACTCATCAGTGATAACTTTCTATGCAACCAGCCTTTAATTAAACATTGGCTCTCTTCCAGGTTTACTAGATCATTTGCAATAGGGTAAAGATTCAACTATACCCCCATTAACCAAAAGGCTTAAAGGGGCTCACACTTCTCCTGACATTAAAAAGTAAAACCAATCAAGTTTTTTCTCAATCTACTCTTCTCCCTCCCCTTCAATAGCATCTCCAGTAAATTACTACCCATAACATACAGGATTTCTTTATATCATCACAACTGCCCCAGTTTTGAGGTGTAAATATTCATTTTGATGTATATTCAACACCCTATACATTCAGATTTTACTTTCTCAACTTTAAGAGATGTTTATCTACACATCAGCCACCCAGAATCCCATAATGATAAGAATTTCTCATATTTCTGGAGGTCTCCAACTTTGAAATCATGCAGGGTCCTTCTCTTTTACCATCACCATCAATAACCCCAAGCTTTTCACCTTCTTGTACTCAATATGTCTCTGCTTTAATATTATGAAAACATCAGGTTTCTGCATAGTTCTTTTTTTTCTGCCTCCTTCTAGTTTATTTTTTACATAAATGCTTTCTTAATCCAGTTAGGGTACATGCGTCTATGACATCTCACACTATTTCTCAGCACTTTTTAAGTTTTTATATTTCCACTGTAATACTCTGCCACACCCCAGCCCTAGCTAGGCCCATCCTGGGACCTTACACATGGGCTGCAGTGGAGATCATAATTATCATAATGCCATGGTGTGCAATCTCCAGCAGAGTGTGAAAGGATCCATCTGCTGTAAGTCCACAACCAGCCACTTTGCCCATTTCCCACACCAGAGTAAAAGATGCTCAAGGTCAGGTTGTTGGTACTTTCCTTCTTTATATTCCCAGTGCCCAGAACAGTGACTAACGTATGCTAGGTACTGAGTGAATCTTTAGCTTAATTGAATAAAGATCATTTTACCAGCCTTTCTGAAGTTTTACCTCTCTCTCCTAATCCCTCCATACCCACACACTCTCAAGAAGATGAGCTATCCTCCCCCAATGCTGACAAAAATAGAGCTATTTGACAGAAATCCCTCAAATTAGACAATTACACATTTACATGGCAAATATGAATCATACTTTTAAAAAATATTTTCAGGAAATGCCTTTTTTTTGGTTCTTTATTATAGATTGATAGTTTTGTGGCAATGGTTCAGCAGGAATATTATTCTTGGTTATTTCGAGGCTCACTTAGTCTGACCCATGTCTCAAGGGTTTCAGTTAGGTATCTCCTGCGTTCATCAACTCCCACAGGAGCTCAAGCTGAGGCCACAGTGGTGTCCTTTACGTGGTGTGTTTAGCTCAGTGGACTGCATTTATGTACCACTCTTGGGACAAGCAGAGGCTTGGTGCAACTGAGGCCTTGCTGAGGACCTGGCTTCCCGGTGGTCAGTGAACATTCCACTGAGGGCCTGTGTTGCAGCTTTCCTGCTCATTGGGTTGTCGGATATCTCTTCACTCCCTCCAACCATCTCATGTTCTTCCCAGAAACTCTTTATTTCCTCAAACCCTTACTTATTCAATGGGCATAGGTTTTAGAAAACAAAATCAGGAACAACTTTCTCCCGAGTTTGAAAGCACAGCTAAAGTCTCCTGATTACTCAGGGAAAATGAAGGGAAAAATACATGGAGAAGGCAAAAATGAATATTTCAAAAATAATTACACACAATAATTTATGTAAAAATAAACATGTTCATCTCTCCTTCCCTTTCTCCTGTCAGAAACCTCCTGTGGCAAGGTCCTCAGCTGAATCTAGGATCCCCTCCTCAACCATACCCTGGGGAATTGCTCCATTATTCATGAGCCCTTTCTCTCTCATTTTACAACCTCTCAATTTTTACTGCTTTTTTTTCTTTTAACATATTCATGCTTGCATTAGTACAGCACCTCCAACTTTAAATAGTATCTCTCAATCCTGTCCATCCAGTGTCATGGGCTCCTTATTCCCTTCTGCAGCTACATATTTGCTATGCTTTGAATGTGTCCACCCACATTCATATATTGGGATCCTAAACCCAATATATGAAGTGATGGTATGAGGAAGTGGAGCCGTCGGAGGTAATTAGGTCATGACGACGGAGTCCCCAGAAAGCTGCCTCCTCCCTTCCACCACGAGGCGCCACGTGATGGAAGAAGCAAGACGGCACCATCTATGAACCAGGAAGCAGGCTCTCACTGGACACTGAATCTGCCGATACCTTGATCTGGGATTTCCTGTCTCCAGAACTGTCAGCAATAAATTACTGTTGTTTAAGCCACCCAGTCTATGGCATTCTGTCACAGCAGCCTGAAGGAACTAAGATAGTCTTTAAAAGAGCGGTTGACAACTCCATCCTCCATTTCTCATAACTCAATCACCCCTCTGTTCACTACAACTGGATGCTTCCTCCTATCTATCAGGCATTTTCTGTTCCTTGTTACAATTGACTTTGCTACGGCTTATAACATGATTAAGGACAATAAGTACCCTTTACGCCTCGGAACCCTCTGTCCACCATCACCTGTAGCAGCCATCTCCCAGTCTCCTCCTTCTCTCTGGCCGGCTCTCCCTCAGGTTTGGTCGTGAAGTCTTATTTCTCTCTTTCTCCCATGACTGCGCGTGTTCTCTGGGGTCCCAAGTTCCTTTGTTATCCTCTCAAGACACTTCCCGTCTGCAGCTTCTAGACAGGTCCAGATGGTTTTCTTTCCTTTTTTTTTTTTCTTTCTTTTTTTTTTTTTTTTTTTGAGACAAAGTCTCACTACAACCTCTGCCTCCCAGGTTCAAGCAATTCTCAGCCTCCCAAGTAACAGGGATTGAGATTACAGGTGCTTGCTACCATATCCAGCTAATTATATATATATATATATTATTTATATATATATATTAATATATATATTATATATATAATATATATATTATATATATATTATATATATATATATATATGTTATATATAGTATTTTTAGTAGACACACGGTTTCACTATGTTGGCCAGGCTGGTCTTGAACTTCTGGTCTCAAGTGATCACCTCGCCTCAGCATCCCAAATAGCTGAGATTACAGACACAAGCCACCATGCCTGGCCAGATGGTTTTCTGTTACAACTTTTACTAATTGCAAAAAAATTTTCAGAAAGCTATAAATCTCTGATAAAAGAAGGACTTAGAATTCTCTTATAATTATAATTATGATTATGATCATTGAGAGGGTCTAGCTCTGTTACCCAGGCTGGAGCACAGTGGCACAATTATGGTTCACTGCAGCCTTAACCTTCTGGTCTCAATCAATCCTCTCACCTCAGCTTCCTGAGTAGCTGGGACCACAGTCACATGCCACCATACCCGGTTAAGCATTCTTCATTTCAGCAATCATTTTCCAGCAAATGCTCTGCTAATATTAATATCCATTTTTAAAGTTACTTTCTTGTTTAAACATATTTTATATAAGAAGTAATTGACTGTACACATGTATACCACGTGTTTGTGTATGTGTGTGTTTGTATTTTATAAAAGAAATTTCTCTTTACATTAACATTCTCCTCAGGTATCCTAGAATTTAGACCTGTCTGTCTCTATAACCTGTCACAATCAACCTCTAACAAGTTAGCATTAAGATGTGTGGGGTTTTGCTTTATTTGATTTAATTGAGCTGCATAATTATTCATTTTTAAAGTTTTAAATGTTCAAACAAGTTTTTAAAAACACACCCTAGCTCTATTTACATCTTATGTTCTTACTCCCTTGGTGTGTGAGAAAGAAAAGTGACTAATGCTTGCAGAGGAATCAGAACACCTTTCAGGAAACTTGCATAAGGAAGTGGGCCTGGGGGGTGCATAATACTGGGCTATTCCATTACATTCTTTGGAGGGGAGTTGCTGCTGGGACCAGTTACCCTAACACAGAAGAAACCAGGTCTCCCAGCTGTCAAGATCTTTTCTTGGGCAATTCCAATGGTAGAGAAAATATACAGTCACCAGGGTGCACTCAGAAAGGGGCTGGACTGGCAGGAGCTCTGTCTATAACAAACTGAGTCTCTCCACAGGAGCACAGCTGCTCCAGCTTTGTCCACTACACTTTCCGTAGATGTGCCCTGATGTTCTGTGCCCTGGAGGAGGAATATTCTCCTCCCTAATTCTTAGCCTGAATGATAGTGCTCCCAGGCCAGTATTACCCACAGGAGGAGACGTTCACTATAAAGGTAGTACCTGCTAGAATTGTTGGATAGTTACTATAATGGACTCCTTAAAGAAAATAAAACTGCAAAGTTACCTGTTTTATCAAAAGCATACCATGAGTAGATTATTTAACAAGTGCGTAAGTTTCAACAAGCTTGACTTCCTAGGATGATTGAGAGGAGCTGACATGAAGCCAAGAGACTGAACCTAGCATTCCTGGTTCAGAGATTCACCGGGCTGCAGACCTGCTTGTTCTAGGAAGCGATGGTTTTGCATCATAGCAGTGCAGTGGATGACTCAGGACGTCACTAGAGAAGACTAGGAGGACCTGTGTTCAGATATTAAGCTTTTCCATAACTAAGTCTCAGTTTTACTTTCTATAAAAATAGGGGTGATACGTGTGCCTGTACCAGATGGCCTTGAGAGACCACAGCTAGGTAGCCTGGGAGAGCGGGTGGAGGCAGAAGGTGATGGAGTGAGCCGCTGCATGAGAAAGGTGCAGCAGGGCAGGAAGTGGCGTCTTAAAGGGATATGTCCTGTGACCCAGGACCCAGGTGGAGATGCAGATTTCCTCCTGTGACTGAAGGTTTTCAGGGAAAATGGATCTATTGCCTGAAAACTGACTGAGCACATTTCTCATCAGATCTTAATCACAACATTCTTTCCTACATCAAACAGAGATAATGACAGGGCCTGATTGGATTGGGAGAGATTTAGGTATGATAACCCATGAGAAGCTTTTAGCATTGTGTTTCTAAGAAATAATAGAATAAGAATAAGATATTGTTAATAATTAGAACAGAAAAATATATTCTATTATTATTTTTGTTGTTACTAATATTACTACTCAGTTGAAAATGGGAACCCAGAATCATCAGGGAAATTTGTCACCGAGAAGTAGTCCCGGATGCAAGGTTCTGGTTTATAAACAAAATTCTAGATTTAAAAGTTGAGCCAGACTCAGGGAACTGTTAGTCAGAATTCCATTACAAGAATCAATGTAAAGGGTAGGACATGGAAACGGGTCCCCAGAATGTGGCCAAAGCCTGACACAATCTGAGCTTCGATCTGAGTTCCATGTTGTTATTATGAGATTCTAAAATTCTTTTAGAGTGAGGGCAGGATTCCAAAGCCCGCAGTCTGAGCGGGGCCTCACAACAGTGGGGCACGAAGCAGGAGCTTCCGTGAGCATAGCCTTAGCAATGATCTTAACCTGCCCACATGTTTCTTTTTTTTTGTATTTATTATTAATTATTATTATTATTATTTATTTTTATTTTTTTATTTTATTATTATTATACTTTAAGTTTTAGGGTACATGTGCACAATGTGCAGGTTAGTTACATATGTATACATGTGCCATGCTGGTGTGCTGCACCCATTAACTCGTCTTTTAGCATTAGGCATATCTCCTAATGCTATCCCTCCCCTCTCCCCGCTCCCCCCACCCCACAACAGTCCCCAGAGTGTGATGTTCCCCTTCCTGTGTCCATGTGTTCTCATTGTTCAATTCCCACCTATGAGTGAGAATATGCGGTGTTTGGCTTTTTGTCCTTGTGATAGTTTACTGAGAATGGTGATTTCCAATTTCATCCATGTCCCTACAAAGGACATGAACTCATCATTTTTTATGGCTGCAAAGTATTCCATGGTGTATATGTGCCACATTTTCTTAATCCAATCTATCATTGTTGGACATTTGGGTTGGTTCCAAGTCTTTGCTATTGTGAATAGTGCCGCAATAAACATACGTGTGCACGTGTCTTTATAGCAGCATGATTTATAGTCCTTTGGGTATATACCCAGTAATGGGATGGCTGGGTCAAATGGTATTTCTAGTTCTAGATCCCTAAGGAATCGCCACACTGACTTCCACAATGGTTGAACTAGTTTACAGTCCCACCAACAGTGTAAAAGTGTACCGATTTCTCCACATCCTCTCTAGCACCTGTTGTTTCCTGACTTTTTAATAATTGCCATTCTAACTGGTGTGAGATGGTATCTCATTGTGGTTTTGATTTGCATTTCTCTGATGGCCAGTGATGGTGAGCATTTTTTCATGTGTTTTTTGGCTGCATAAATGTCTTCTTTTGAGAAGTGTCTGTTTGTGTCCTTCGCCCACTTTTTGATGGGGCTGTTTGTTTTTTTCTTGTAAATTTGTTTGAGTTCATTGTAGATTCTCGATATTAGCCCTTTGTCGGATGAGTAGGTTGCGAAAATTTTCTCCCATTTTGTAGGTGGCCTGTTCACTCTGATGGTAGTTTCTTTTGCTGTGCAGGAGCTCATGTTTCAAGTTAGTGTAGAAAGCCAGGTTTTAAATATGAGAATGAGGCTGGAGATGAGAAAGCCTTCTTGGATTACACTCTGAAAATACATTATAAATTAACACTAACAGTGGACATTAAAAATGGAAGAAACAGTTGAAAATGTTATGTCCACACAAAAGCCTGCACATGGATGTATTTAGCAGCTCTATTCATAACTGCCAAATATGGAAGAAACTAATAAAACTTTTAGTATGTGAATGGATAAACTGTGGTAAATCCAGACAATGGAATATTATTTTGTGTTAAAAAGAAATGAGCTGCTCACACCTGTAATCCCAGCACTTTGGGAGGCCGAGCCAGGTGGATCACCTGAGGTGAGGAGTTCTAGACCAGCCTGACCAATATGTTGAAAGCCCATCTCTACTGAAAATACAAAAATGAGCTGGGCATGGTGGCATGTGCCTGTAGTCCCAGGTAGTTGGGAAACTGAAAGAGGAGAATCACTTGAACCTGGGGACGGAGATTGCAGTGAGTCGAAATTGCGCCATTGCACTCCAGCCTGGGTGACAGAGTGAGACTCCATCTCAAAAAAAGAAAAAATATAGAAAAAGAAATGAGCTACTAAACTATGAAAAGACATAGAATAACCTTAAGTGTATATTGCTAAGTGAGAGAAGCCACTCTGAATAGGCTACATACTGATATGATTCCAACTATACGGCATTTTAGAAAACTGTGGAGACAGTAAGAAGACGAGTGGCTGCTAGGATTGCAAGAGAGGGAGGGATGAATAGGTAGAGATGGGATTTCAGGACAGTGAAAATACCTTATATTTTACTACAGTGGTAGATACATTTGTTCAAACCCACAGAATGTACAGCAGTAAAAGTGAACCCTGGCTGGGCGCCATGGCTCAAGTCTGTGATCCCAGCACTTTGGGAGGCTGAGGTGGGTGGATCACGAGGTCAGCAGTTCGAGACCAGCCTGGCCAACATGGTGAAACCCTGTCTCTAAAAATACAAAAATTAGCCGGGCGCAGTGGTGTGTGCCAGCAGTCCCAGCTACTTGGAAGGCTGAGGCAGGAGAATCACTTGAACCCGGGAAGCGGAAGTTGCAGTGAACCGAGATCACGCTACTGTACTCCAGCCTGGGTGACACAGTGAGACTTCATCTCAAAAAAAAAAGTGAACCCTAATGTAAACTGTAAACTTTGGGTGATGATGATGGATCAATATGGGCTCATTGAATGTCAGGAATGCACAGTTCTGGTTCAAGGTGTGATAATGGGGGGTCTGTGCATGTGTGAGAATAGGGGATATATGAGACATATCTATACTTTCTTCTCAATATTGCTCTGAGCATAAAACTTATCTGAGGAATAAAGTCTTAAAAAAAAAGAAGTAAGAAACGTGTGTGCCATTGCCTTAGAATGGCACACTTTTGTTTTGCATTAGAAATAACCATCTACAGTGGCGGCAGTTCAGGCCCCTGCTCACAATGCTCTGGGGGCTCCAACCATGTCCCACTGCCCATCACTGCCCCCATCTTGTGCCACCCTCGCCACAAGCCCAAGCCACAGCTGCTGTTTTCCTCTTACTCACCTTTGCTCCTGGCCATCTGGCTGGAGGGCTTCTTACTTATTGTGCCCTTGTGTTGATATATTATGACTCAGGAGTTTCATACTAGGGTTTTATTTTTCCTTTTGCATTAAGGTCTCAGATCAAATGACCTCTCTTTGGAAAGCTTCTCAATCTGTAGGAGCTGTCTCGTCCTCCTCTTGCCTTTGTCAGCAACACTGTGCTGCATGCTCTTTTGTTTGCCTGGAGGCATATATGTCTGTCTGAAATTGTCTTGTTCATTTGTATGCTTACCTGTGTATTTGCTTTTTCCCTGCACTGGTATATGAGCTCTGAGAAACCAGGGATTCTGTCTCATGAACCCCTGCAGCCCAATGCCTGCTTACAACAGCATCCAGCACTGACCTGTGAAAGGACAGGTAGTCTTGCCTGTGCACTTGGTGGTGGGGAGGGAGATTATCTGCTATTTAGTTACCTATGTAGGTGACAGCATTTACTAAATACCATCTGGACTTAAAAGGGCAAAACTACAATTTATGATGAGACCAAGAGTAAGACCACCTTTCTTTTGTAAAACCTACCATGGGCAGATTAAGCAGCAGAAACCATCATCATGGCAAAGACTACAGACATCACTTTCTGGAAATGGTCTTGTTTTGAAAGCAATGAGATTTTAAACTATGTAGTATGCTGACTTTAAGTCTCACCTACAAAACAAGATGGATTAGAAGAGAGAAATAATGAAA
The DNA here is from genome assembly GCF_000001405.40 of Homo sapiens. Lineage (NCBI taxonomy): Eukaryota > Metazoa > Chordata > Mammalia > Primates > Hominidae > Homo > Homo sapiens. The sequence continues at coordinate 49,233,590 of NC_000007.14, forward strand.
AATAAATCCCTTGAAACTGCATCAGATACATCAAATATTATAGAATCCCTTCTTGTTGGTTGAATATAGCACTGGAACAAACTGAAACCTTTTCAAGTGACAGAGGTCTTAATTCTGGCCCCTCCATATACCAATTGGGTGGCTGACTAATTTTTAAATTTCTTTGATCTTCAGTGTTCTTATTAAAATTGGGATGTTCACATGGCCTTGTTGTAGGTTGAGAAGCTGATGTGATTCCATATATTAAATGCCTGGTACTGTATCTGGCTTGGAGAAAATGAATGATCAATACAAAACGAGTAGTAACCACAGTTGTTGAATTTATTCCCACCCCAACCTAAGGCGGTAGGAAGCTCAGGTGTTATAAATGATGGAGACATAGTGCAGTACAGAGGTTCCCCTTGGCAGAAAGGCATTGTATCAAATTCTATTTGTTTTTTTATCCTCCTAGTGACTCACAGGACAAGTGTTTCACATTTTTGTAAGTGTCCTTAATGCACCAGAGTTTTCTTTTTTCTTTTCTTTTCTTTTTCTCTTAACTTTTATTTTAAGTTCAGGGGTGCATGTGCAGGTTTGTTACATAGGTAAACTTGAATCATTTCAACATGCAGGTATTAAGCCTAGTACCCATTATTTATTTTTTCGGATTCTCTCCCTCCTTGTACCCTCCCCGTCCAAATGGCCCAGTGTGTGTTGTTCCCCTCTATGTGTCCATGTGTTCTCGTCATTTAGCTCCCACTTATAAGTGAGAGCATGTGGTATTTGGTTTTCTGTTCCTGCATTAGCTTGCTAAGGATAATGGCCTCCAGCTCCATCCACATCCCTGCAAAGGACAAGATCTCATTCCTTTTTTATGGATGCTTAGTATTCCATGGTGTATATGTACCACATTTTCTTTAACCAGTCTATCATTGATGGTCATTTAGGTTGATTCCATGTCTTTGATATTGTGAAGAGTACTGCAGTGAAGATACATGTGCATGTGTCTTTATAATAGAATGATTTATATTTCTTTGGGTATTTATGCAGTGATGGGATTGCTGGATCAAATGACACTTCTGTCTTTAGGTCTTTAAGGAATCACCACATTGTCTTCCACAATGGTTGAACTAATTTATACTCCCACTAACAGTGTGTTCCTTTTTTCTCCACAACCTCACCAGCATCTGTTTTTTTTTTTTTTAACTTTTTTATTTATTTATTTTGAGACAGAGTCTCACTGTTGGCCATGCGGGAGTGTAGTGGTGTGATCTCGTCTCACTGCAACTTCCGTCTCCCAGGCTCAAGCAATTCTCCTGCCTCAGCCTCCCGAGTAGCTGGGATTACAGGGGTGTGCCACCATGCCCGGCTAATTTTTGCATTTTTAGTAGTGATGGGATTTCACTATGTTGGCCAGGCTGGTCTCGAACTCCTGACCTCAGGTAATCCACTTGTCTCAGCTTCTCAAAGTGCTGGGATTACAGGTATGAGCCACCGTGTCGGGCCTTTACTTTTTCATAATAGCCATTCTCACTGATATAAGATGGTATCTTATTGTGGTTTTGATTTGGATTTCTCTAGTAATCAGTAATGTTGAGGTTTATTTCATATGCTTATTGGCCACATGAATGTCTTTTTAAAAAGTGTCTATTCATGTCCTTTGCTCACTTTTTAGTGGGGTTGTTTGCTTTATTCTTATAAATTTAAGTTCCTTACAGATTCTGGATATTAGATCTTTGTCAGATGCATAGTTTGCAGAAATTCCCTCCCATTCTGTAGGCTGTCTGTTTACTCTGTTGATAATTTCTTTTGCAGTGCAGAAGCTCTTTTTTTTTTAAATTAGATCCTGTTCGTCAATTTTTGCTTTTGTTGCAATTGTTTTTCACTTCCTCATTGTGAAATCTTTCCCAGTGCCTATGTTCTCAATGGCATTGGCTAGGTTGTCTTCCAGGGTTTTTATACTTTTCGGTTTTACCTGTAAGGCTTTAATTCATCTTGAATTAATTTTTGTATATGGTGCAAGAAAGGGGTCCAGTTTCAGTCTTCTGCTTATGGCTAGACAGTTATCCCAGCACCATTTATGGAATAAGGAATCCTTTTCTCATTGCTTGTTTTTGTCAGGTTTGTCTAAGATCAGATAGTTGTAGATGTGTGGCCTTATTTCTGGGTTCTCTATTCTGTTCCATTAGCCTATATGTCTGTTTTTGTACCAGTATCATGCTGGTTTTGTATACTGTACCAGTATTATACTGTAGCCCTATAATATAGTTTGAAGTTAGGTAATGTTATGTCTCCAGCTTTGTCCTTTTTGCTTAAGATGGCCTTGGCTATTTGAGCTGTTTTTTGATTCTATATAAATTATATAATAGTTTTTTTTCAGTTCTTTGAAGAATCTCAGTGATAGTTTAATAGGCATAACATTGAATCTTTAAATTACTTTAGGCAGTATGGCCATTTTAACAATATTGATTGTTGATTTTTCCTGTCCCTGAGCATGAAATATTTTTCCATTTGTTTGTACCATCTCTAAGTTATTTGAGCAATGGTTTGCAGTTCTTCTTGTAGAGATCTTTCACCTCTTTGGTTAGCTATATTCTTAGGTATTTTATTCTTTTTGTGGCAATTGTAAATTCATGATTTGATTATCAGCTTGGCTGTTGTTGGTTTATAGAAATGCTAGTGATTTTTGCACATTTAATTTGTATCCTCAGATTTTGATGAAGTTGTTGATCTGCTTAAGAAGCTTTTGGGCTGACATGATGGGAGTTTCTATGTATAGGATTATGTCATCTGCAAACAGGGATAGTTTGACTTCCTCTGTTTCTATTATATTTGTATGCCCTTTATTTCTTTCTCTTGCCTGATTTCCCTGGCCAGGACTTCCAATACTATGTTGAATAGGAGTGGTGAGAGAGGGCATCCTGGTCCTGTGCTGCTTTTCAAGGGCAATGCCTTCAGCTTTTGCCCACTCAGTATTATATTGGCTGTGGGTTTGTCATATATGGCTCTTATCATTTTGAGTTATATTCCTTCGATACCTAGTTTATTGAGAGTTTTTAAACATGAAGGGATGTTGAATTTTATTGAGAGCCTTTTCTGAATCTATTGAGACAATAATGTGGTTTTTGTCTTTAGTTCTGTTTATGTGATGAAACACACTTATTGATTTGCATATGTTGAACCAACCTTGTATCCGAGTGATAAAACCTACTCGATTGTGATGGATAAGCTTTTTGATGTGCAGCTAAATTCAGTTTCCCAGTATTTTGTTGAGGATTTTTGCATCGATATTTATCAAGGATATTACTCGGAAGTTTTCTGTTGTTGTCATATCTCTGCCAGGTTGTGATATCAGGATGATGCTGGCATCATAAAATGAGTTACAGAGGAGTCCCTCATCCTCAGTTTTTTGCAATAGTTTCAGTAGGAATGGTACCAGCTCTTCTTTGTACACCTGGTAGAATTTAGCTGTGACTCTGTCTGATCCTGGGCTCTTTTGGTTGGTAGGCTATTTATTACTGCCTCAGTTTCAGAGCTCATTACTGGTCTGTTCAGGGATTCAATTTCTTCCTGGTTCAGACTTGGGAGGGTGTATATGTTCAGGATTTATCCTTTTCTTCTAGATTTTCTAGTTATGTACGTAGAGGTGTTCATAATATTCTCTGATGGTTGTTTGTATTTCTGTGGGGTCAGTCATTCTTTGGGGTCAGAAATGACATAATCTCCTTGTCATTTCTGATTGTGTTTATTTGAATCTTCTCTCTTCTTTATTAGTCTGGCTATGGTCTGTTATTTTATTAATCTTTTCAAAAAAATCATCTCCTAGTTTTGTTGGTCTTTTAAATTTCTGTGTGTGTGTGTGTGTTTGTGTGTGTCTCAAACTCCTTTAGTTCAGCTCTGATTTTGGCTATTTTTTTTTTCTGCTAGCTTTGGGATTTGTTTGCCCTTGGTTCTCTAGTTCTTTTAATTGTGATATTAGGTTGTTAGCTTGATATCTTTCTAACTTTTTGATGTGAGTGTTTGGTGCTATAATTTTCCCTCTTAACACTGCCTTAGCTGTGTTCCATATTCTAGTATGTTGTATCTTTGTTCTCATTAATTTCAAAGAACTTCTTGATTTCTGCCTTAACTTCATTATTTACCTAAAGTCTTTGAGGAGCAGGTTATTCAATTTCCATGTAATCGTGTGGTTTTGAGTAAATTTCTTAGTCTTGAGTTCTAATTTGATTGCACTGTGGTCCAAGAGATTGTTAGGATTTCAGTTATTTGCATTTGCTGAGGAGTGTTTTACTTTAAATTATGTGATTGATTTTAGCTTATGTGCCATGTGGTGATGAGAAGAATGGATATTGTTGTTTTTGGATGAGAGTTCTGTAGGTATCTATCAGGTCAATTTGATCCTGTGCTGAGTTCAGGTCCTGAATATATTTATTTTCTGTCTCAATGATCTATCTAATATTGTCAGTGGGATGTTAAAATATCCCGCTATTGTTGTGTGGGAGTCTAAGTCTCTTTGAAGGTCTCTAAGAATTTGCCTTATGAATCTGGTTGCTTGGAGAGTTAGCTCTTCTTGTTGAATTGAAGCCTTTACCATTATGTAATGCCTTCTTTGTCTTTTTAATTTTGTCTTTGTTGGTTTAAAGTCTGTTTTGTCAGAAAATAAGATTGCAACCCCTGCTGTTTTCTGTTTTCCATTTGTGTGGTAGTTTTTTCTCTATTCCTTTATTTTAAGCCTATGTGTGTCATTGCATGTAAGATGGGTCTCTTGAAGGCAGCATACCAATGGGTCTTGGTTCTTTATCCAGCTTGCCACTCTGTCTTTTAATTGGGGCATTTAGCCTATTTACACTTAAGGTTAGTATTGATATGTGTGGATTTGATAATTTCATCATTATGTTAGTTGGTAATTTTGCAGACTTGTTTATGTGCTTGCTTTATAGTGTCACTTGTCCATGTAGTTCAGTGCATGTTTGTAGTGGCTGGGGATGGTCTTTCCTTTCCATATTTGGTGGTAACAAATTCCCTCAGCATTTGCTTGTTTGGAAAGGATCTTATTTCTTCTTTGCTTATGAAGCTTAGTTTGACTGGATACAGAATTCTGAGTTGGATTGTTTTTTCCTTAATAATGTTGAATATGGGCCCTTAATCTTTTCTGGCTTGTAGGGTTTCAGCTGAGTTGTCCACTGTTAGTCTAATGGGCTTCCCTTTGTAGGTGACCTGACCTTTCTCTCTAGCTGCCTCTGACATTTTCTTCTTTGATTTTGACCTTGGAGAATCTAATGATTATGTGTCTTGGGTATGATACTTCTTGTGAAGTATCTTATTGGGACTCTCTGCTTTTCCTGAATTTGAAAATTGGACTCTCTCATTAGTTTGATGAATTTCTCATGGATGATATCCTAAAATGTGTTTTTGAAATTGGTTCCATTCTCCCCATCTCTTTCTGGGACATCAATCAGTCATAGATTCAGTCACTTTAAATAATCCCCCTTTTTTTTGAGGTTTTGTTCATTCCTTTTTATTCTTTTTTCTCTATTCTTTTCTGCCAGTTTTATTTCAGAAAGCCAATCTTCAATCTCTGAGATTGTTTTCACTGCTTGGTCTATTCTGCAATTAACATTTGTGATTGCATTATTAAACTCTTGTAGTGTGTTTTTCAGCTCTATCAGGTAGGTTATGTTCTTTTCTATACTGGCTATTTTGTCTGTCAGCTCCTGGATTATTTTACCATGTTTTTCAGCTTCCTTGCATTGGGCTTCAGTGTAGTCCTGTAGCTCAATGATGTTCTTTTCTATACATATTCTGAATTCCAAGTCTGTCATTTTAGCCATCTCAGCCCAGTTCTGAACCCTTGCTGGAGAGGTGGTGCAGTTGTTTGGAGGAAAGAAGGCACTCTGGCTTTCTGAGTTTTCAGTATTCTTGTGCTGATTCTTTCTCATCTTCATGGGCTGATGTTCCTACAATCTTTGGGGCTGCTGACATTTGGATTTTTTTTTCCCTTATATCCTATTTTATGACCTTGAGGGTTTGATTGTGGTATAAGGTAGATTCAGCCAACTGGTTTCATTTCTGGGAGATTTTATGAGGCCAACACTCAGCTCCCAACTCCTGGTGTGAGTGCTCTAACTCTGGCAGATTTGTATTGGACCTTAACTTTGTCTTCTGGCTCTTTGAGGCTTGGAGTCCACTGTGCTGGGGGTGGGGACACAGGTGTGAGATGCAGCAGCTGCAGCAGAGTGCTAGAAGTTGCAGGGGTACCTGCTTCCCTGCAGGCATTCACCACAGTGGCAGAGGCAACACAGCTGGAAGTTGGGGGGATGGGGAGGGAGCTCCTGCTGGAGACTGTGTGCACAGTCACACTGGACATGATGTTGGCTTGGGGGCAGAGTGCTGGCCAGTGCTGGGCTAGGTGACTTCTCTGTGTTTCACAAGCAGGAGTGATCTCAAATTCCATATTCAAACCCCTGCTCCAGCACTTATCCTCTAAAATATAATCCAACAAAACCTTTTTTTAAAAATTGTATGCACATATATATATGTCTGCATGGGTGTTTTTGTGGATATTTTACACAAATAATCATTATATAAGTATAACTAAGGTCCAGAGGATAATAAAGGAAACAACACAAATGAACCTGTATCCACTATTCATTTTAGGAAAAAGATAATCACCACAACTTAATGTTCCCCATAAGCCCCTTCTGATGCTATACACCTCTCTCTTCATTTCCCCAAGAGTGACCATTATTTCGAATTGGGTGTTTATAATAAAATGAATTTTGTATATAGTTTTCTTACCTCTGTATTTATCTTTAAAGTTCTATTGTTTCATTTTGCCATTTTTAAAATTTAAATGGATGGCTGTATGTTTATATGTTTTTATTTGATTTACTTTTTGCTGCTCACTATTGGATTCCTAAGATGACAGCATGTTATCAAAAATGGTAGTTCATTCCTTTTTATTGTTTTATGTGGTCCCATTGTGAGAAAATAACACGCTGAATTTAGTCATTCTAAAAATGATATATTTTGTAAGTTTTATTTTCCCTCATGTGGTTTTTTCTATATTAAAAATAGTATTGTCACACGCTTTCTTGTGTATATCTTCTAGTGTGTGTATATATAGGTATTATATATATTTATACTATATAAATAGTATACTATATATAAAAATAATATACTGTATATTAAAAAAATATATTTACATATATATATATTTTTTTCAGATGGAGTTTCTTTCTTGTTGCCCAGACTAAAGTGCAATAATCTTGGTCCACTGCCACCTTCGCCTCCCAGGTTCAAGTGATTCTCCTGTCTCAGCCTGTAAACCTGGGATTATAGGTGGCTGCCACCACACCCAGCTATTTTTTGTATTTTTAGTAAAGATGGGGTTTCACCATGTTGGCCAGGCTGGTCTAAAATGCCTGACCTCAGGTGATCTGCCCACCTTGGCCTCTCTAAGTGCTGGGATTACAGGCATGAGCCACCTTGCCAGGCCTATATCTTCTAGGATAGATATGCAATAATTTCTTTAGGGTATCAAACTGTTAGTTCATAGGGCATTTGTTCAATTTTCATTCAACTATTGAGTGTTGGCAATTGTCTATATGGCAGGTACTGTTTAGGCACCAAAGTTAGAGTATAAAATAAAATATACAAAACTTCCTTTCTTTATAGTGCTTTTCTGCAGGTAAAGGCAAATAGCAAATAAAACAAAACATAAAATATTCTGTTGGCAAGGATAAACGTGGTTATGCTGCTGTGATAAATAATCCCCTTATCAAAGTGGCTTAAAAATAATTTAAAATATTGTATCTTAATCATGTTACATGCTCTTTATATTATATGTTCCACATTATTTGTTCTTCAAAGATTGCTAGGGAGCTTTCTCCACATTGTCATCTTTCTCATTTTGGGATCCAAGATGTTCAAAATGTCATTCTCTGGAACGTGCCAGGTACTGAGGAGAAGGGAAAAAAGAATGCAGCGAAATTCATGCAGGCTTTTCAAGGTTCTGCATAGAATCAACATTTATTGCTGCCTCTCCCACCTCATTGCCAAAGACAGTCATAGTAGCAGGGGACAATAAACTCCTACCATGCACCTGGTAGTAAGATAATAATCAAATATTTGCAAGCAGCCCTAGCGATTAGCACAAATATAATTTATTAGATGATGATGATAATATGAGAAAAAATGCAATAGCATGAATATGCAGGGTTTGAAACAATGTTGGGAGAGTGATTAGTCCCTTTTAGATGGTAATCATAGAGGATCTCATGAAGAAGATGGCACTGGAGTAAATAACAAAGCAGTCATTGTAGGGGACACTTAGAGTGAAGACCACTGACAGGAAGAACAAGTGCTTCATGCAGAAGCTTAAATTTTGTGTTCTAGCATAGAAGTAGGAGTTGACTTCCAAGACTTAAGCTGGGGGTAGATTGGGAAAGGACTTTTAGAATTTGACATTTAGTCCGATTTAAAAAGATTGAAGTAGAGGCATTTAAGCACATATATTTTAGCAATATAACCATGGCTGCTATGGTGAAACATTCAGGATGATGGAAGAAGGGAGGAGTCCAAGCCAGGAGCTGCAGGAATGGCTAGGAAGATATTTTAATAATTTGGGCAAGAGATGAGGGCAACATGAATTGGGGTGATGGAAGCTATGGTAGTAAAAAGTGGTCAGATTTGAAGGAGAAAAAGAGCAGTTAAAGAAGGCTTCAAGGTTTAGGCATTGAAAGAATGGCATTGCCACATACCAGGAACCAAGATGGGTATGTCTGGCTTCAGCAACAGAAAATAGTAACAAAATGTTTTCTAAAGCAGCTGTATCTTTTACCCATCCTGTCCATAAGATATAAGTATCTCTTTTGTTCCACAGTGTTTGCTATTTTAACTTATTTGAAATGTTATCTTGTTTTAATTTTCATTCATAATTCCTTGACTTTCAATGAGATTGAGTGCTTTTCAGATATTTATTTGACAATTGGGATTTCTTTTTTCCTCAGAAAACTGATTCAGTTATTTTGTCCAGTATTGTGTGTGTGTGTGTATGTATGTGTATGTGTGTGTTGCGTTGCATGTTTTTTATTTTGTTTTGTTTCAGAATTGTTTATGAATTCAAGCAGAATTGAAAACATCTTCTAATTTATTGCTATTATTCATAGGTCTGCCACTAGTTCCACTGATTTGACTATTAGTGCACCAATTCTTGACTGTTAGAATTACTGTGAATTTATGGTAAATCTTTACATATGGTAAAGCAGGATTCTGTCACGTTGTCATCATCATTGCATGTTGCTTTTCTTTTTCTCATTTTCTTTCCTCTTCTTCCCCTTCTCCCTCTTCGTTTGTGATTTTGTTTTTCTATTTTTCCTCCTTAATCATCTTTTTCTTCAGGAATGTTTACCCTTTACTCCTCTGTATACATTTTAGAATCATCTTTTCACCTTTCATGAAGAAATTTGTTATAATTTTTATTAACATGGTATTGACTCTAGCTATAAATTTGAACAGAAGTACTTCATGGTACTGAGTTTTCCTATTCATGACTATGTTATATATTCTATTATTCAGCTTTACTTTAATGTCATTAAACACAATACTCCAAGTATCTCTGTAGAATAATTTATATAATATTTAGATTTACTTCTAGTCACCTAATATTTTTGGTTGCTACCTCAAATGTATTTCTAATTTTTTCCTTAAGTTATCTAACTTTTTTGTTGCTGATATATAGAAGCTATTGATGTTAAAAACAGTTATCTTATTTGGTTTACTAGTGAGAATATCTGGTGACTTCTTACTCCGTTATAGACTTTAGAATTTCTTATATTTACAAAATGTCACTTGTGAACATCAAAGTTTTGATTTCCTTTTTAAAATTCTTACAACTTTTGTTTACATGTGTAAAAGTTTGATAATACTGCTTACTCAAGAAGAGTAACATCAATTATGCCATCATTTTTGCTTGATTTATTTTCAGGAAAACATTACAGTATCTGAAAGTAAAGAATTGTAGGTAATCTTAATTTAGCTGCATGGAGTGAGAATTATTATCAATAATAAGAATATATCCAGTTAAATTCAGTGGTAGGGTTTTATAATGGTGTAGACATCATGTTTGATGCCTCAATAACGCCCTCCACTGGCACACATTAAAAATAGCCTTGAATGGATCTACTGAAAAAAGAACGGATCAAGGAAAAAAGAAAGAAGAGATGGAAAAGATACAATGTTGAGCTCTTCTTTCAGTCTGAGAACATATATGTTTAGTCAATTTAGCAAGCTACTCAATTCTTTCTCACCATCTGTTTTAAATCCCATCTCCAATGTTCATAAAACTACTTCTCTAGGGTTAATAAATGATGTAATATGTTTATTGTGTTTTCTTGCCCATTTTGGTACATTAGTAGCAGTGATGTGAATACCTTGATGAGAGGAAATGTACTTGTTAGTCCAGTTGACTGAACAATGACTACTACAAACTTTATATGTTCTCATTTTTATATTTTCTATGGTTGCTTCTGTTTCTGCTGCAGAATAAGCAAAGTGTAGATTAGAGCAAGCATCAATTTCCAACAACACACTTTGGCTGAGTGCCCCCTTCCCCAGCCACCAACACACACACACATCTATGTTCAACTGAATTCTCCTGCCCGCTATGCACAGTTCTTAGTCCTTTGGGAAGTTCCACCTAAAGCTGTTCTCAGACAATTTATTGTCTACTGATATTGAGTTCAACTTCTTTCTACGTTGTTTCAATATATACAACATGACTATGCCCTTATTTGTTCCATCTCTGCACTGTTTGAGCTTACACATGCGTGTTCACTTAATGAACCTAGTTGTAAGATTTGACTAAGGTATCTGCCGTATCATTCTAATTCCCTTCTGAACTGGCATAACCATAATCCACCTTAATTTTTCTTCAAAATTCTCATAGAATTTACTTTGGGTGTACTTTATCATATGATCTTCTAGGGCCCTGATCACAATGGAAAGTCTGAAGCCTCCTGACTTAAGCATCTATAAAGAAGAAAATACTCCCATGAATTTATAATTCCCCTTTGCCTTCTGCCACTGAATGCATGGTTCTCAGCCCACCTGCTGTGCAGATTTACCACTACCTTCCTCCCCCAGAGGAAAGAATGCACCTCTGCTGGGTGATTTCTAAAAGGCAACGTGATCCTCATTCCAGAAATTCATTTGTGAAACAAACAAGCTGTTTTGTCTCACCTGAAAAGAATTATAGCTTCCTACTAGCTGGTAGTTGGGTCACAAACATCTTTGGAGGGCTCTATCATTGTCTCCAGAAGCACCAATCTCCCTGTTCATGTATGAGGCAGACTCTTCATGCTTTCCATGTCTGGAATTTTTAATATACCATTTCTTCTGCATCAAGGAGCTCTACTGAGCCTTACCATCTGTATGCAAACATTTCTCTGAGCTGATAGGCATTTCTAATCTCAAGATTATCTGGAAGCTTTTCTATGATAGAAACATTCTCTCGTAACATCCAGGAGCAAGCTAGAAATAGTCTTCCAATTTCTTCAACACTGCTGAGTAGCAGTATTGTTTTTCTGCCTGAGGCGCAAGTCTGCATGCATTCTAGTTGCAGATGCTTCAAAGAGTATCTGGGTGATTGAATATTTACATCCCAGCTACACTGCCTCCTCAGCAGCCCCATTGTAAACATTGATTGTTATACCTTCTCTGGGCTCAATGTAAATTTGTATTTCTTCCTTGTGTCTTTGCGAAAAGGACCCAGTAGGATTCCTGTGAGGCAGATGTGGCTGTGCTCAAACCCAAACAAGCCTAGGAATCTCCTGGCTTCCTCTTCAGAGATAGATTAGTAAAATTATCATTTATTTCATACAGTTTGAATGCTGTCCCTGGCTGTTTTACCTCAGGAGATTCACAAAATTTCTCAGACTAAACTGGACATTTAGTTTTAGCTGGGTCTATTATCCAGCTTCTATTTGTCACATGGTTGGCTGCAGTTTTTAAATCCACCTGCTTTTTTTTTCTCCAAGGAGGCAATTATAGCAACAAATCAGTGAAGCACACCAACTTATGTTTAACAGTTAGCTACCAAAACCACATCTCCCCACAGTCTCTGACAGGATGCTGGTGTATTTCAATATCTCTGACAAAGTTGTAAAAGTGGATTGCAGATAAGTCTACATGAATGCAAATTGTGCTTGGCTGGTTCCAAAATAGGATGAAAAAAGCAACAATTATCTAAGTTTACTCTGGACCTCAGTTAGCCTTGGCCTATTGCATTTGTTATGTAATGTTTATCATATTGGGCACATGGCTGAAGCAGTCTCACATGCTGTAGCATTTCTTCATCAGTATTCAACTGTCAGTCTCAAGAAGTCCTCTACCTTGATCCCAGCCAAAATGGGTTTGATAATATGGAATTAGTAAAAAGCAAGTATCCTATTTCAAACCATTTTCTTCATTAGAGAAGTGGTTTCTTGTTTCCAAGTAGGAATTCTATATTGCTTAGCTTTTCCACAGAAGAAAGCCTGGTCCATTACACATGTCCCCATGGACTGGGTGAAGGGTTTACCTTGTCATCCATGTTGATAGAACTATAGCGACAGAGCTCCATAACATTCATTTCAGTTATGTTTTCAGGAAACAGCAAAACAACCACACCTGCAGTTCATTTTCCATTTTGCAGTTAAACCATAACCTTACTGCCTTCAACCCCACTTTTGTACCCTACAGATTTCACATTAGGGCTATTTATAGTGCATGGACATCCCTGTACCTGTGTTAGTGATCCCCAAAAATATTTCTTACCACAATTGGGTCATTGTATGCACATCGTTGTAACTGACCTTGGAACCCCCAACAAGGCTTAGACAAGCAGTTCCCAGGTCTTCTGCCAGTTATTTTAAGATTCCATGAATTAAACTGAAGGAAAACATTCTAGCCCTTCTTCAAATATTCTCATTTTAAATTATGACTCCCGTAAGTTGACACAAATTCACTCAGATTGAGTTATATGAAGCAAGTAGCATGTTCGGTATTTACATCTTTAACAGATGTGTCATATTTAGTATTTACACCTCCTTCTCCCTCTCCATCCCCCACTGTATGTAATTACTATCATTTCTGCAGCAAAAATCCCAATCATTTTCTTCATTTTCTCCTCTAATTTTTGCTTGCAGTAAAATACACATAACATATATCATTTTAACCCTTTTAAGTATACAAAGTAGTAGCAGTAAGTACATTCACAATATTGTGTTACCAACCATTACTACTGGTTCCAGAAGATTTCATCATCCCAAGCACAAACTCTCTACCCTTTAAGCAATAACTTCCTATTTTTCCTTTTTGACAGCTTCTTAGTAACCTCTATTCTGCTATTCATCTCGATGAATTTGCCTATTCTAGACAGTTTGTTTAAGTGGAATCAGAAAATCATGCTCTCTTTTTTATATTATTTTTCAGAAGTCATGTAAACCACTTCATCTATTTAAGCTGGTTTTTTCTTTCCCACATTTTGGAACATGTTTTCTGTTGGTGCTACCTTTTTTTTTTTCTTTAATTTTTTATATTATTTTTGAGACAGAGTCTCGTTCTATTTCCCAGGCTGGTATACAGTGGCAAAATCTCTGCTCAATGAAACATCTGCCTCCTAGGTTCAAGAAATTCTCATGCCTCAGCTTCCTGAGTAGCTGGGATTACAGATGCACACCACCATGCCCAGCTAAGGTGCCATCTTTCTTTTCGATAGCACAATTCTCTCATCATTTCCCCTCGTGAATGGTAGCCGAGTTATCAGATTACAATTACCAATTACTGACTACTGAATGTTTTGATGGCCCTCAAAGGAGCAAGGTTACATAAGATACTCAAAAACTGAGGTGATCCTTGTATAACAGCCTTTGCCATGGTCTGTGTCAATGGCCTTAAATGACTGTGTCTCTCAGATGGTCAAAGAACAAACATCAGGTTTCCTGCCAGCACTGTTAACATCCCTACTATTTCAGAAGGAGTAATCCATTTGTTAGTCCTGATGGCTTCTTCTCAGGGCAAGTGAGCTAAGTTCTACTATCTTTATCTATTTTTCAACTAAGTTGCTATACCATTTGGAAAAGTTTGTGTCAACTTGGAAATCTTTAATAAATCCAAATTATCTCTTCCACTTACTGGTTTATAGACTTGGATATCCCAATCCCCATCCCCCTACCCTGGTTTCTATTCTGAGAATCCATTATGGCACGAGTGCATAGGTTTTTGCTGATATTTCTCAGAAAATAGCCAGCTCTTTCACTGAATAATCTCTGCGTTCTGTGGTAATGTGGCCATAGCCCTGGATACTTCGTATTCTTTGGGGGTGATCACTGGTTGTGAGTTACTTTGCAAGTGAATAGCCACAGAAGCAAGGCCATGCCTTCCTGAGATGAGAAGAACTGGTCTTTCTTCTTTTACTTCCATTGCCCTTCTTTAGATTTAGTTTCTGCCTAATTTCCTCCTTTAGATTTAGTTTGTTGTTGTTGTTTTAAACCAGGCTAACAGCATTTAGTGAATAGTATTTGCTAACATGCCCTCTTCTTGAAATTCTCTCTCTGTCCACTGAACCAGACCTCTTACTCTCACTCTCTATGTCTTTTAAATTCCATTAGTGATGAATTGTCCCGGCCACAAGCTTCTGCACCACCTCACAGCAACGACGCATGGGAGGCATTTTTAGCATCAGATTCTCATCATACTGTTGTCTACTCCTCACACTTTTAACCAAAAAGTGACTTTGCCCCTAATTTGTGGGCCTGATAAATAATCTCACCATAGGCAATAATCTGTGTGGTCTCTACAAGTGGTTGAAACGTCAAAGCAAATTCACAGACATTATAATTTTTCCCAATCTCAAACTTTATTAATGATTCAAAGACTACAAGCAAACATGCAGTCCAGGGTTTGGCATTTCTTGTTTGGCATACATGCTCAAAATAGTCTGCAAAATCTTTCACGTTCTCTCCTTTTCGGAACTGGAGCTCATTGTTGTTTTAGAATAAGAGACAAGAGCTAATAAAGTCAGCGCTACATGCCAGTGCAGTAGAAGCCATTTAGAGCTAAGATGCTTCATTAGTCACACAGGGATAAAGGGATTATGTGACTAACTTCTATCCATAGATTTGCTTGTTGTATAAATTTTATACCATGAATTTATAAATTCCATGTTTAGTTAAAATCAACCTGTCTTGACATACCAAGCATATGCTGATAGAAGTAATTTTTAAATTGAAAAGTCTTGGTCAGTAATTTATGTGCTAGCCAAATACTACTACCATATCCACAAGGTTGTCTGTTCTAAGTCAGCATTTCCTTGGTTGATCCAAGAAGAAAATGAGTGAATTACAGAACTAATGATTTCCAGACTTAAGTATAGTTTTTATTGAATTACAGACTGTTAACACTTCTGTATTAGAATACAAACTAGTAGTGCAATAGCTCCATCATATGATACACGTATGCTCCACTTGGCAGATAATTCTCAATAGATTTCCAAATTGGTTGCACTAAGTAACACGAATGCCAGCAATTGTGTATCTAATTTCCTATTTTTACACATGCTCAGCAGCAACTAGGTCTTGCCATTCATTCTCGTGTTCACCATTCAGATGGTGTGTCATAGTATTTTATTTTGGTTAAATGTCTCTGTTTATGAAAGAGGTGTTTATTCGTTTGTTCGTTCTCTTAGTATTCTCTCCTCTGTCCTTTTATGAATTGCTTGTTCAAGTCTGTTGCCTATTGCCTCTCTTGGGATATATGTCATTTAATTATTGTTGTGAAGTACTTCATTTTATACTTCTGATAAAAGCACTTTTTCATTATATCTAAGGCAAATATCTTCTGCTAATCCATGGTTTGCCTGTTCCTTTCAATAGTGTCTATTGATGAACACAAATCCTTGATTTTCATATGCTGCGATTTGTCAGTAATTTCCTTTACAGTTATTTTTTTCCTAAAAAGGTTTGTCTCAGGATCAAGATGATATTCTTCTAAGTAATCTTCTAGAAACCTTGTTGTTTAGAAAATATTTACATTTATCTTCTCCATGTAATTGATTTAGGTATAGAGGTAAATGTTTAAATATTTTTTACATGATTATCCACTTGATCCACCACCATTTACTAAACGGACTCTCCCTCTTCTGCTCTCAAGTGTCACATATGCCATTAATAAAAATGTCCAGTGGGTGGATCTGTTTCTGGACTCATGAATCTATTAGTGTATTTCCTATCCATGATCTAATATAACACCACTTTGATAAATGTCACTTTGTAATACATCTTGGTAATAAGGATTGTAGGCACCCAAGCATTGTTCTTTAGCTTGGGTTTGACAATTTTTGGTTTTTGGTTCTTTGCACTTTCATATGATTTTAGAATCAGCTTTTCATTTTACATGTACACATGCACACACACACAAATGTTTACATAGCTTTTCATTAGGATTTAACTGAAAGTATAAATTAATAAGAGAGAATTAATTTTTTGTAATATTGATCTTTCAGTTTACAAAAATTATATATGTTTCAATTTAGGCCTTTAAATATAGTAATGATATATAATTACATATAATAATATATTTTATAATATCTACAATAATATATAATATATAATATGGAATATCTTACAAATATGTTAACATTAATATAATATATAATAAATATAAAATATATGCATTATAATATTTAAATATCATTTTATATATAATATAAAATACTTTATAGAATAAAATACATAATAATATATAATAATATATTTTGTGTAAGAATCCTGTATATTTGTTTAGATTTGCTTCTATCTGTGTGATGTTTCTTGATGCCATTGTAAGTGATAGAATTTAAAAGTTATTTTATAATTGCTGGTATCCAATAATATTGTATCTAGAGACATTGCTAATTTCATGTTTATTCTCATAGCTTACCCATAAATATTTAAGGGAATTACAATTATAGTAACATTTTTATTTCTTAATTTAAAATTCTTAAAACCTAATTTCAATTTCTTCTCTTGTAGCACTAACCAGGACCTCCAAAAAAATGTTTAAATTAGGTGACCTTAATAAGAATTCTTGTCTCATTTCTGAATTCAAGGAGCAAGTGATTCATAGTTTATCATTAAGTATGATAACTCAGGGTTTTCTGTAGTTATCCTTTGACTTTTAAGGCATCTCCTGGTGTACACATGTATACAACTCCATCCCCTTGAATGTGAGCAAGGCCTGTGAATAAGATCGATTTTCCCTTTACATTGGGTCTCTAACCCACACACATGCATTGATCTTTAGTTATTTCTACTTTCTCTCTCTGTGCTTTCACACTGATACCTCTGATTCCATTCCCATAACGCAGGGCTCACATGAATCTTCCCTTTTCCATATCTGTAACTTCTTTCTCTAACAGTAAAAAATGTGTAAAAAATGTGATTCATCATCTCCAACATATTTACTGATTTGTTCAATCCTAGCACACACATAGCTTCAGAATACTAACCTATGCCTTTTTAGGAGATAAATTTACTGGATACAGTATTTCTGTGTAGTTCTTTTTGTCTTTAGACTCAGAGTATTCAAGCCCAAAACCTGTTTTGCAAGGTTACTTACGTATGTTCCTTCAGTTTAATTATTCACTTTTAATGAGGTAAGTTTATGTTTTTTTTAATTTGCTGTTCTTCCTAGTTTTATTTGTCAATATGATTTCTCAGGACTTGAGTGTTGTTATAAAGCCATAATCGAGGGTCAAGTGCAAACACTGGAGTGTGTTACTTTTGGAGATACACTGGCTAGTAAAGAAATGAACTATCAAACCATAAACAACATTTAAAAGCACAGCATAAATAAATGAGCCTTTAACCAAAAATTTATCTGAAAGAAAGAGCATTACATTAAAAAGTTAACAGAGCAGTTGTTCAATATCTGACGTCTAAACATTGGTGCATTAGAGATTCCCATACATAGCATTTTATCTATAATGTAGTTGCTAAGCATGTACAATTGCCAAATCATTATTGCCAAAAACTGTATCAGAGATGCTTGTTTAGAAAAGCTGGGTGGCCATGCACATTCAGGACATCCTACTGAAGCATAGATACTGCTACCATGGCTGTTCTTTTGGTATGTATTATTTGAACATGATGGTGAAATGAAGGAAACCTTTTTCCCAGCTTTGATTCTGAAAAATACATCCAATTCTCAATGAGCTAAAGCAACAAAATATCACTTTGTTATCAAATGGGTTTTGGAGTTTAAGTATTATGTAGCATATGTTCAAATGACATGGATATATAGAAAAGAAAATATTGTAGGTGGTCAATCAGATTATGGAGCTGTGTCAAAATGTAAATCAACACGGGGAGATTTTCATTGAGAAAGTTTTGCCATTCATGACAAAAGAAGCTGAACTAAAGAGTGTGCACAGTGCCACAGTAAAATTTGTAAATTTTATAAAGTCTGGTGCCTGGAATTTTAGATTTTTCTTATTGTGATCTGATAACATAGAAACTGGTTTAAATAAATATTGAATGTTAAACCCTGATAGTTATCACTGGGAACAATTTCAAGAATGCTTGAATTATACAACAGGTTATCAGTGTTTCTATAAGAAAGAAGTATAAATAAGTAGATGGGATTGCAAGATATTTTCTGATATCCTTGACATCTTTGATGACCTCAATATATCTGTGCCAAGATAGAACATGGTTTTCAATGGAAAATAAGATCAAAGAGCAAAACTAAAAAGCTTTGAAGAACAGAATTTCTACAGATTGTCATGACATGTTTTGTAATTTAACAAAAATTTTAGATGAACTCTGTGATGATCTTTATGTTGCATATCTATGAGAAATTGTTAATAAACACTATGAATCTGATAGACTCCTTTGAAAAATATTTGTTATCAAAAGAGGATCCAAGGACAAGAAATTTAAGGATGTAGAACTCATTTCTTTCATTGAAGGATAATTTAAATTTAAGTATGATTTTACCAGGACAATTTGTTTGAACTAGCTACTAATGCATTGAAAATGAATTATGAAATTTTAGCGTACTTTGCTTTATTTTGGGTAAAAAGTTTTTTTTTAAAGGTCTT
Source organism: Homo sapiens (assembly GCF_000001405.40). Taxonomy (NCBI): domain Eukaryota; kingdom Metazoa; phylum Chordata; class Mammalia; order Primates; family Hominidae; genus Homo; species Homo sapiens. The sequence goes on from NC_000007.14 coordinate 49,252,689, forward strand.
TTGCTTACAGAAGTTGCTTTAAATTTTATTAACTTTTCCATTCCTTTCAACAAACTTCTGAAAGACCATGTAGAGGTTTTTGCGCCAATCAAAAGAACAAAAAACATAAAAAGGTTTATAGGTATATTACTTTTTGTTAATAGCATGTTGTGTATTTTACCTTGACTAGATGGATTAACAAACAAGAAAGATGTTCATGGGTCATATAGAAACTTTAAATATCAGTGTTTGTTAAAAATTTACATGTATGAATCAATATGGGAAAGAAAATTTCTATTATAAGTTTTTAGTTACTATCGAACAATGATAAAATGTTACAAGTATGTATACACTTCTCTATATTGACCACCTATAAGCGTAACTGTCAAGGAACGAGCTGCATACTTGTAATTCTTTTTGTTTCTCTATGTTTTGTTTGGCTGAATTACACTTAATTAAAAGTAAATGTATTTTTATTAAGTAAAGTCATAAAGTTATAACATCATTTGTATGTCTTTAGGTGTTTATTTGTTTGTTTGTTTTGAGATGGATTCTCTGTCACCCAGGCTGAAGTGCAGTGGCGTGATCTCGGATGACTGCAACCTCCATCTCCCGATTTCAAGCGATTCTCCTGTCTCAGCTTCCTGAGTAGCTGGGACTACAGGTGCGTGCCACCACACCCGCCTAATTTTTGTATTTTTAATAGAGACGGAGTTTCACCATATTGGTCAGGCTTGTCTTGAACTCTTGACCTTGCAATCCGTCTGCCGCGGCCTCCCAAAGTGCTGGGATTACAGGCATGAGCCACCGTGCCTGGCCCTGTCTTTAGGGTTTTTTATTATTATTATTTTAAAAGAAAATTCTTTTTATTATTCCACTAATTCCTTTGTATTGTATTTTATAAATTATCAGTCCAAAATAGATGGGAAATAAAAGCAAAAATAAAATTAAAAACAATAACAACAACAAAAAAATCCCCAAACAGCTTTACTTTAATACAGATGGTTTGAGAAAATAAGTAAGGCCTTTCTTATCATGGCATGGCATTTAATTTTAGATCTGACATCTGATTTTGTCATTGCACTGTCAACAGAAAAAGTGAAGGGAGAAGGTTCTGAACAGACCCACCCACTAATCTGGCTCACAGTTTCTGGCTGAAACTGACTGTTAACGGCAAACGTTACGGCCTAATATCGAAGCACAAGTTCTACCTCAGGCCGGGTTCCTCAACATTCATCACTGAGAGATTCAGGCAAGAGGGAGATAAGTTCAAGAGGACAGCCATTCTCCCAGGTACCTCAGTGCTGGCTGAAGGCTCTCAGCCCTCCTGTGGCCATTAACTATCCATGGGACATATGGAATATTTGCACTCTCTGGGCCTTTCTGTGTTTGTCTGTGCCAATTGTTCTAGTTACTGTCTGCTGAACTGATGTTCGGCATTTGTCAAAGATATAATTTATTCTGGCAAAGGGGGAGATGAGGAACTGGGGACAAAAAGAATGACAGAGTCCAACCAAGTAAGACAACATAATTTACTCTCAGGAACTAAGAATGTCAGGTGTGATTCCTGCCTTTGGTTTTTCTAAATTGCATCTTCTCTGTAAAGAAAATGATTAAAGACCTGTGTTGGATTCTCTTATTCTATAATATTTGCCTAATCCCCCAAATAGTCATACTGGAACCTGTATTACTATTGGTTCCAGTATTAGAGACCTAATCTCAAACCTTTTTTCTTAAATTTTCCCTTTGCTCATTTTACTAGGTTATTCAGCCATCTGACATTGTTGTATTGTTGTTTTAATATTAGTGACAGTGATAAGTAGACTATGCCACATCTAATATATAAAATTAATCTAGTACAAATGCACAGAATGCAAATATCCCTAGATTATTCTTTGCTTCTGGTGAAGAATCTATACTTCATTTTAATTCCTGCTTTCAAAAATGCTTTTAAGCTTAGTTGTGATTTATTTTATTGTGTTTTTTTATATACTTCCAGGAGTTGCATCTTCATCTAGTATTTGAAATGATAATTTATAGGGGAAATCATTCAAGATAACATGTTCCAGAAGGAAAATACGCCCTGCTGTTGTTCCAGCTCCTTAAATCATGTTTTACCTAGTCTAATAAGAAGGCTAATTTGCCTTGGAAAGAGCAAATGTGTTTGCTGCAAAGCAGGTTTTTTATTTCCAGGTAAGATAAACGTCAGGCTAAAGAACAGAAGTATAGCATTCCTAGATTTTAATGTCTAAAAAGGGAGATTTGAAGCACTACAAAATGACATTCCTCTAGAAAATAATATTGATGAGAAGAGAGTAAAGAGTAGTCATTTACTCACCAACTGTTTATTGAAAACCTAGTGTAGGTCAGAAGCTGACCTTGAAGTTAAGAAGGCAACAATAAATAAAACAAAATTTTGCCCTGGCTTACACTTAACCCAAATAATGATGTCTTTGCCATGAAGAGCTTAGGAGTCATTTACGTCTTCCACCTCAGTAATTTACATTCTTCTACATCAAGAAAAAATGGTATGTCCTGTTAAACTTCAACCCATCTGGAAACGTAACTGTGATACATTAAGCATCCTCTATGAGTCAGCTGATTTACTCATTCTGTCTCACTCTCCTTATAACTAACCCCGCCAAGTAGAAACTATTATGTTTCCATTGTAGATCACTATACTCCTAAAGAAATAAGATGATTTCATCAAATCACATAGCTTGTGACAGAGCTGAGGGTTTCCCTCAGGTGCTGGAGTGATTTTGAAAAAGTCTGTCCTAGATACAGTGTTATTTGAAATTTGTGTCTGAAATTTCTGCCACTTAATTGTACCAGAAGATCTAGAAGGTTCAAGGATTTCTGGAAAGTGTTCGTACACTGGCAGCTCTAGCACTTCTGAAGAAGTCATGTGGTGCAGCTCCTTGTCTAGAACAGATCCACTTAAAGGCTGGAGAGAGAGTGCGTTGAATCCTGGAGAGGTTTCTTTGTGTGTGTTTTTGTTTTGACAGAAATTTTGCTTTTGATTTATATATGTTAATTTCCTGGTGGGTCTTTTATTTAAGAATACAGATGTTTATTGTTTCCATGACATACTGAGTAAATAGAACACAAGATCAGCTTTGATTTCTTATTTAAGACAAGTCTTGTGAAAGTTTGTTCATTTAAACATTTTCTTTTATTAAAGAATTCTTTAATTCCTGTTTGTTTTATATAGTTTAAATATTTGAGATTAGTTTAAACTTCAGATTTACTTAATAAATATCCATTTACTTTGGTACTAAAAAATAAATTGAAAACATTGATTTTCTTTCAAATGACATATTTATTCTGAAGATTAAAGTTAAGAGAGTAGAGACCTAGGTTTTTGTCTTAATTTTGTTATCATCTACCTGTGAGATCTCATCCAAGCCATTCATCATTCTGAGAAAATTAAATTTCTAAAACATCATTTTATTGAAATATTATATAATAACTAATAGCTATAATTTATAATATTGAATATTACATAGTAATATAATGCTATATTATGTATTATATAATAATAATAGTAGTAAATACAAAAATAACATTTCAGTCAATAATGAATTCCATATACAATGGTGTCCCATAAGAAATAATACCATATTTTTAATGTACTTTACATGTTTGGATGCGCAAATACTTAACATGGGTATTATGATTGCCTACAGTATTCAGTACAATAACATGCTGAACAGGTTTGTAGCCTAGAAGCAGTAGGCTATACCGCATAGCTGAAATGTACAGTAGACTATCTCAACTATGTTTGTGTCAGTATACGCTATGATGTTCATGCAATGATGAAATAATTTAATGATGTATTTCTCAGAATTTGTCCTCATAGTTAAGTGGCACATGACTGTAGTATTATTACTAGCAAATAGTAAAATAGTACATAGCAAAATTTAATAACCACTGAAACAAACAAAAACTTTTGCATTATTACAGAGCAACGTGTGATTGATTCAATAGTAAGTAATGCTTATCACAGTCATAATATAGAGAAAAAGTACGTAAAATAAATGAAAAAGAAAGATGTAAAATATGCCTTTTTTGGTCTGTATATTAAACTTCAAGATGTGTGGAAAGTAGTTAAATAATTATGCAAAATGAAGAATCATTTTAATAAACTGCTACTGTGAGAATGTGTAAGATTTTTATGTAGAGCTTCTCTGATACCAATGACCTGAGATCTGACCAGATAGTCCAGAATTAAGTGGTAATAAAGGCTGTGGCATGTGTATTTTTCATCGATGTTAACACAATGAGGCTGAAGAACTGTTCATCCATGAGAAACAAACTTCAAAATTTTCCCAGTAGGCATGACTTATGCAGTGTCAACTTCATAATGTGCAGCCCTCCTAAATTTTAAAAATGTCATTTAAGCTACTCAGAAAGCGTCCATTAAAAGCAGAGTTAGGGCTGGGTGCGGTGGCTCATGCTTGTAATCCCAGCACTTTGGGAGGCCGAGGTGGGTGGATCACAACATCAGGAGTTCAAGACCAGCCTGGCCAAGATGGTGAAACCCCTTCTCCACTAAAAATACAAAAATTAACTGGGCGTGGTGGAGGGCGCCTATAATCCCAGTTACTTGGGAGGCTGAGGCAGGAGAATTGCTTGAACCCAGGAGGTGGAGGTTGCAGTGAGCCGAGATCATGCCACTGCACTGCAGCCTGGGCAATAGAGCAAGACTCTATCTTAAAATAAAATAAAATAAAATAAAATAAAATAAAATAAAATAAAATAAAATAAATAAAATAAAATAAAAGCAGAGTTAAAGCTTCCTCTGTCCTACTGTGTTTTTCCTCCAAGTTGTTCTTCTTTGTGTATTCACCAATCTCATAAAGAGAAACTACGTACATACAACAGACATGTGTGTGCACAGTCATCTGTATATGAATGCACTTTGTGAATAAGGATGTATCACCAATCAGAAACTAATGAATGGCGATTTTTCTTTAACACTTTTTTTTTTTTTGAGACAGAGTCTCGCTCTGTTGCCCAGGCTAGAGTGCAGTGGCGCAATCTCGGCTCACACTGCCAGCTTCCCCTCCTGGGTTCACGCCATTCTCCTGCCTCAGCCTCCTGAGTAGCTGGGACTACAGGTGCCCACCACCATGCCTGGCTAATTTTTTGTATTTTTAGTAGAGATGGGGTTCCACCGTGTTAGCCAGGATGATCTCGATCTCCTGACCTCGTGATCCGCCCACCTTGGCCTCCCAAAGTGCTGGGATTACAGGCGTGAGCCACCGCGCCCAGCCTTCTTTAACATTTTTGTTTTTGAGTTCTCATGTGATAAAAGATTTTAAATGGGTTAGTTTGACAATTTGTATGATACTGAAGAAATTGTGATGAGGAAAATGAGAGAAAAGGGAACCCATAATCAATGGACATCTCTTTATGTTCCAGGTATTTTGCAAAGTACTTTATAATCAGTTATTGGAATTGTTTCATATGGTTATTATTAATATTCATATATTAGGGATGAGAAAACAATGCTCAGAGAAGTCACATAACTTGTGTAAGGTAATCCACAAGTGACTACTTTTGCAAGATTTAAAAATATTTCTGATAAATTCCTCAAGTTTTTATTATGTATCCTCACAAAGCCTCAATACATCATGGAGCTTCAAAGCAATTTTCGTCGTTTGTTGCTGTCTTCCATTATTTAATTATATTTAACTATTAATATACACTAGAAAGACTACTATGTAACCATATGTATCATCTAGAAATGAGTCCACCTGCAAAGACAAAACAAACAACAAGGCAAAACAAAACAAGCTAACCTTACAAACAAAGACGAAACACAAAGTTTGATAATGCCCCGCTGTCATAAATAGCAAGATGTCAGGATGCTAAACCAGTAGCAATCAGAATTGGTGCTCTACCTGTTTGACAGTCCACTACCGCTCACTCATTCTCTTCTCTTGCTGCTGTACGGAGACTTGAATTTTCAGGCCTTTTGGTAAGTCATCAGCAATCACTTTTCTACAGATGAACAAAAGTGCTGATTTGAAAGATATTCTAGATATTCAGTCTAGAAAGACTTGGATAAGAGACTTTTCTCTCTTTTTTAGTGGAGACAATTACATTTTGATTAACTGTATTTAGAACAATTAGATCTCATGTATCAACATATTCAAATAGTAAGATCTTTAAAATAAGATCATGCAAGTAGATAGGATCTTTCCAGCTTGCAGAAATCATGAATATCAGCCAGACTGGATACACATTTAATAAAATATATTATTTGAGGTTTAAATCCCATGTCTGGTATTTTACTTGCTTCACTGAAAACCAAGCTGGTTAAGCTTTTAACGTTAACACAGCCACTTGCAAATCATTATTTCTTCTAGGTTTTGCAATAACTATATTCCACCTTTGTTTTTTGTTGTATCTTTACCCTCAAATATATGCACAAATAAATTTAAGACCTTTATAAGAATACTTATAATATTTAGCTTCCATGTGACTATCTAATTATCATCTAGTAGCTGTAAGGAACAGCATGTAAGATCTATTTCTCTCTTCTTCCCATAGCTATTAGTTGACAGTCTAGTGAATGAATACAGATATTTGGTAAGACGTTGTCTTCTCTCTTCAAGTTTGGGCATGCCTTTAGTATCTAGTCCTTGAACCTTTGTATATGCATTCACTGAAATGGTGTCGGTTGCGAAAGCCAGCCTTCACTATATTACGCTCAAGATAAGATTAAATGGCACCTTTAAACTGGCAAGAGGGATTGGGGACAGGACATTTTCACCATCTTCCAAGTCATCATGCATACTACAATTTTCTTGCCTCTGATTGCATACTTGCACTTGTGACATGGAACTTGTTCCTACAGAATTTTTGTAGAAGTCACTTTTCTTTCCAATTTCATAATCTCTTCTGGAATATTGTCCCAATCTATTAATGCTTGATCTAAAGGTGACAATTTTATGTCAATGCTGTTCTTGGTTTTTATATTTCCTACAAAACGAGGCTGGCATACAATAGTATTCACCCTGAATTCTGGAATATTTTTTTCTTTTTGTTTCTTAGCCAGCATTGCTTTTGCTTTCATCTGATTGCACCATTGCTGAAAAGTTTAATTTCTCTTTCAGGATCTGCTTTTGTCATTTGAAACTTGATGTTTATTTACCTTGACTGTCTCCTATTTCTGACCATCATGGCGGCTTATAGAGCTCACCATGTTTTTCTACAGCATAAAGAAGATGGAAGGTCTACAGAGGTCCCCTACCGAGGCATTTGCAGGGCTCTGCAAGCATCCTTTGGCCAGGACACTGTCAAGGTGGCAGTGAGGAATCTCACTCAGACATGGTCTGAGGACATCCTGCTCATCTGGCTGTTTCCTGGCCCAGCTCCATTCCACAACAATACCATCCTAGGATTTGTTTCGTGGCAAAAAGATTGCATGGGGGATATATATGAATGTGTTAATTTATTCTGCTTATGAAACATACAGAACTGCATTTTGTAAGTTTGGGGCTAACACCATTTTCCTCCTCCTCATATGTCAGCAGATACATCTTTATTTTTAATAAGGCAAGAGGGGCAGGTGCAGTGGCTCATGCCTTTAATCCCAGCACTTTGAGAGGCCGAGGCAGGCGGATCATGAGGTCAGGAATTTGAGATCAGCCTGGCCAACTTAGTGAAACCCCGTCTCTGCTAAAAATACAAAAAAAAATTACCTGGACATGGTGGCGGGCACCTGTAATCCCAGCTATTCAGGAAGTTGAAGCAAGGAGAATAGCTTGAACCTGGGAGGCGGAGGTCGCATTGAGCCATGATCATGCCACTGCACTCCAGCCTGGGCGACGGTATGGGACTCCTTCTCAAAAAAAAAAAAGAAAAAAGGAAGAAAAGAGGAATGGCACCAAATCACAATAGGCTTGAGAAGGATCAAGAATTGTGGGAAATTCTTGATTGTGAGATGCAAATAGTCTCACCTAAACACAAGAAGATCTGTTATCACCTATGCAAACCCTCGCAGGCAGTAAAATGCGCCTGTAGCAGCAAGGAATTCCAGATTTTATCATGTTTTCACAATTAAGGACAGTTACTTCACAATTAAGGACAGTTACAGCTGAGTGCACAGTATGTGGGCATGAGCCAGATAAAAGTATGTCATTAAGTGTTCTAGTTAGATTGGGTATTTGCCTGTTTGAATAATTTATGAATTTCTTAAGAGAGCTAGTTGTGGACAGATATTTTACTTCATGCTTCATTTTCTAATGCTTTTCTCTGTATTGTGAGACTGAGTGCCTTCTGCCTATATAAAAAGTTTTAGCAGAGCAATTAGAAGTATTATTTTGCAATGGGTGATGAAGACCAGACAGTAACAGTTGCAGTTTTCAGGGTTGCTTGTAAGAGGGGAGACTATTTACATGCTACATACACTGACTAATAAGCTGGGAATTTATCTAGGCACCTGTATTGCCCCAATTAAACGTGTGAATCAGTTTACTTTCACATGAAGTGAGTAAGAAAAAGCCCATTTTATTTTCACCCTGCAATTGAGTCTTTTGAGAAAAACTTAGCAGAATCCTCTAATTTGATTTATTATGTTCAGATATGTATTTAGCTATATTAAAAATACTCTGATACACAATTTATAATATTTGTTTCTTTTTTGGTACGGGGTTGTTCTGTAGGAGAGTGCAATTAACATAATTGTATTAGAAATTGTGGCTACTGAAAACCAAAATGAAGAGTTGCCTGCGTTACGCTTCTCTGCCTAGCTGCCCGTCAATGGGAACAGCCTCCTATTGTCTTGGTAACATGATAATTATTGGAGTGGCTTGGTCATGAGGTGATACCCTCTCTATCACCTCCTGTCCCAGTGACTCAGTTGGGTCAGCGTGTGTAGCCGACATCAGTGGGACCAGAGACCTTTTCTTGCTTTAATTTTTATTTGTTTGTTTTAGAGCTTTGTGTCATTGTAATTAGAAATCCTGAAAGTCAAAGTTGGCTCTCTGCAAGCGATAGACAAGAGGAGAGGAAAATTTTGGGAGCTGTTGGCCCCTGAGCCCCTGATATGGGCAGTGCAGGTTGGAGGCTGAGCATGAAGCCAGGCGCTGGGAGCCAGGAGGCCCAGAGTGCTAGGCACTGAGGCACACGGCACCCACACAGGCACTGGGACCACAGCAGGTCTCCCCACAGCTCAGCTGTTGACCGTTCTCTGGATAGTAAATGCGGGAGACTTATAAAAACAGGAACATAGCAAAAGGTCAGAGTGTTTCCTCTCCTTTGAACTATACCTGCTTAAGGAAATATGAATTACTAGAAGACAAGAATAAACAGAGGGGCAACAGAAAGGGAAAAATCATGACAGAGAATGAAAGAAACTAAGCATGATGTCTCTGGGCAAAGAATGTGCAGCACCTGCAGCGGCACCCCCAGCAATACCAGGGAAGTACCACCGCAGGGCTTCTCCGGGGGTGACGGTTCTGGTGTCGTTCAGGCAGGAGGTGGGGAGAAGAGGCCCAGCTGGGTGAAGGCCCAGCCATGCCTTGCCCCTACTTAATACTGAACTCAATGTTTCTGTCCCAGAATCAGCCCTCAAAATGCCACGTCTTCACAGCAGTGGGGGAACTTGGGAGAGCAATGCCCTAAAGCTTAGGGAATCACTGGACTGGAAGCTATACAGGCCTTCACATTAGGTGGGGAGGATGGTCTGGAACTGCTGATGCAGGCTGTGGGCCATGTAGGTAACAGCATTAAGGCTTTAAGAAGCTTAGTTTGAGATGCCAGGACTTCTTCCTAACTTGGACAGGGATTTGGGGAGGCTTGAGATCCACAGGTCACACTAAAGAGAGCTAGATGGAATGTGTGTCCATTGTGCCCATTGTTAATTGTAATGTGTTGACTTGTTTGTCCATTTTGGTTGGTAAATCCTATGACTAAGAATTTTATCTTAGATTTTATCTAAGATTTTTATTTTCCTTGGCCTAAGATTGCCTTTTATTGTATATTTTTTTCTGGTTTCTACTGAAGAACTCTCTTAAAATGAACTTTAATTAAAAAAAAAAAGAAACCACAAACATCAGCTGTTATCTGAATGTGTTATAGATCAAATTGCAATTTCTATTGAGGAGACAGAGTTAAGTGAAAGGGTAATTAACTTCAGCATATTCATGATGTTGTAAAAAAGGGAAATCTGTGAAGTAGGAGAAAATTGATTTTAGCAGACTACACACATCCTGGTGTTCCTGATCTCTGTTTTCCTCAAAAAAGTCTGGGAATGGATTCAGCATCCTTGTTCAATTCCATTGCTTCTTGGGGAAGATTCTATTCAATGACTTTTCAACACCGGTCTTTCCTTTCGGACTCCTGGGACACATAAGGTACTTAGCTGTCATGACATCAGGTTAAGGTTGAGGCTTGGGATGAGGGATGGGGTTTATTGCAACAGCAGGACCCTTTACATCACTGAAGAACTATAGAGAATATTTAAAAATCCTTTGCCCCATGAGGATGTTCATCTTTCAGAGATGGTCAGAGTAAAGCATAAGCTCTTGACCTGTCACTCCCACATCTCTTCCCTTCACCTCTCTTCCCTTCACCTCTCATCAAAGAATGAATTGGGGACTAAGTGAAATTCTAGGTCTGCTCCAGTTCCTATCTAGAATCAGCATCATATTATCAGCTTTATCCCACCTTGGATTTTAAATAAAAAATATGGGGAATCCAGTAGCACTATGGTGCCACTGCTTCATTATTCAAGGCTTTGACCCCTCAACCATACCGGGTATTCCAATAGATAGAAAGTTACAATGCTTTTGCAAGGGTACCCATGTCCACTGGACTTGAACACATAATTGTTACTCACTTCCTTCCCTAATATCAGAGATTGAATATGAATTCTAATTAATTGGCTAAAGCAAACGTAATATAAGTATTAATTCAGCCAATAAACAACTATTGTCATTTTATGGCCTTGGCATTATGCTAGTTGATGGGGGAAATCTAACCTAAGCTTTTATTTTCAGAAGCTTAATCCTGAACCAAAAGCTCCAATCAAATGGAAAATATACTGAGTCCAGTAGAGATATTGCAAGACATCATAATGTAATAAAAAGTTAGAAAGTTCATTCTTTATTTCACTCGTTAAGACTTTAATACTTTGATGGTAAGTTTTTACCTGGTGGTGTGTTGCCTAATTTCCCACTGATCTGTCCTACTATGCCAATCTGATCCATATAAAGAAGTATTTAATGACTGACTTTAATAGAACACAAAATCCCTGGTATGCCAAATATCTTTGATTTGTTCCTCTCAAAAGGACCGAAGCCTGCACAAAGATGTGAGCCTTGCCTTATACTTCTCCTCTACCATCCATTTCACTTAGCATAATGTTGAGTATATTGCAGATGTTCAGTAAAAATATGCTTAAGAATTTATTGATAGGGAAATGTCCTTAGATTTCTGATATTGATACTTAACTCAAACTTGACAATGAGTCTTTCTCACTGTGGAAAAAATACAATCATATCCAATGAGACTGCTGGGTTTTTTCTTACTCTAATAATGTATTACTAAGTTCCAATCAAGCTGTTTTAACATAAAGGTCTGTTTGGGGTTAAAAATAATTTTGGAATGTGGTTTCATACTGCTCATTACAGAGTACTTCTTACAGTGACATTATTTGGCTTTGAAAATCTCCGTAAGTACTTCCTACTTCCAGTGAGTTGTTACAGAAAAAAAATCCAGTAAGCACATTTCAAGCAATATATTCTCTCCTTTGCTCCTGCCAAACCTCCTGTAAATAGAAATCTCAGAATATTTCTGCCTATTTCCTGTGCCCGTGCCTTCCACTAGCAAAATTCTATTGCAAGAGTAGATTAAACTATTTTTCTTCAGTGTTGGCATTTGAGGTTGAGTCAGCATAATTATTCTGAATTTCCCCCCAAATAACTTTCCCTTTTAAAAACAAGCTCAAAGCATTTAATCTCTTCTAGTCAATGTGAACGATATCCTGTACACTGGCATGCTAATCTGCTCCAGGGCCAGAGTGGGAGCATCCTGGCACAGCTTTGACCTCCGCTGGAGTCAGCCCTCTGTGACCAGGAGGATTTGCACTACAGACTTCCTCTGAAGTCTTTTCCTGTGTGTAGATGTGGACAATAGCTGATGTCACTGCACTCATAAAAGACCCTGGCAATATCGGCAAGGCTGGTGTCAGGCCATTGGCCCTGTCCTCCATGGAGATTCCTTGGCCAGTAAGGAAAGGTCTATGCTTTTTCTTTGTGCTCTGGTTTCACGAGCAAGAATCAAACTCACGGATTCCCATTGCCCTTTATATGACTCACCCCAGAATAAGTCTCACCTAATGGTTTAGTAAAAACAAGACCATTTCACCCACACATCTCTGAACAGAGCAGACCTACTTCCATGAAGTACTAGCCTATTATTTCACATTCATCCGCTGAAAGTTAAATTTTATATCCCACCTTCTCAATCATTCTTCTGTAAAACTCCTCAGTGAGAAAGTGAAGAAAAAAAAGATTTAAACTGCAAATTACCCTGCTATTTTCAATTGTAATCCACACAGGAACCTAACTAGATAATGTTTTCTCCATTTTAACTGATGAGAAAAATAAGATTCAAAGTGATAAATTATCTTTAACAGAAGTTAGTTAATGATTTGTGTAATTTAGATAAAAACTATATATTGTCTTTTGTGAAAGCTTGGAATCTCTCCTACACTCCTCTTCCTAGATGGGATAGCACATGATTTGTGGAGCAGCAGACTGGAAGAGAAGAAGGAGAATGAGGAAGAGCCATAGATAGGGATGACTTAGAAAAGAAATGGCCAAATTCTACTTTATTCATTTTTTTCAAAATAGTTTGAATTCGTGACATGAAGCTGTGTTATTTTCAGAAAAAAATGGTACGACATTTTCATATAATGGAAAAGGCAAATAAAAATGTTTGGCCACAAAGATAACAGTAAAATTTTGAAATAATTGTTTGTGGGGTAGAAATTTACAATCACTAAAAACAAACAAAACTAACAAAAACCACAAATAGAACATATAGGAGAAAAAGGAACTAGGATGAATGAAAACTCAAATAATCAAATAATTAAAAAGTGTCAGTTTTAAGTTATAATAAAAATTTAAGTGAGATAAAGTATAATCAAAATATAGGAGTGAGAGAAAAAGACACCACCACCAATATTAGCAAAATATTAATGGGGACTAGAAAGCCAAAATTTATTTAACACCAAAAAGCAGTAAGTTGAAAGCAAATATATTAATCAGTAAAATTATTTGGTGGTAGTTTTAGCTGTTATCATGGAAATAAATAAAATGATTGACTTTGTCTGATCTGTTCTATTCCTTTTATAATTTCTTCTTCCTCATAACACAATAAAATAATGCAGAAAAAGGGTTACAGGATGTTTCCTACAGGAGAAATACTTCTTTTCTAACATGGTCTAAGGTACGGTGGGGCATTTTGAGTGGAATGAACTTAGGCAATTGAATCAAATCTTAGGGAAAATTATTCTCTTTCTTTTGAAGGACTTTGATTTCATCTTTGCTTGCCTCTTCTCTCCATAAAAAAGATATTCTCTGAATTTAGGGTAAAGAAATCAGAATTCCATGGGGCCGTAGTGCTGAAAGTCAAAACTGTGTGTGTGTGTGTGTGTGTGTGTGTGTGTGTGTGTGTGTGTGCGTGTATGTCTGAGGTTTCAGCCTATGTCCTTTATTGTGTGGCACGTTCTTGGTTTACTCCTTCAGAGCCGCACTTGGCATTGTGGGCTATAGGCTGATACTTAGGGGCTGCATCATATAAGGTTCCTTGGCCTCCAGTTAAGCATCTACAGGAGACTGGAGGAGGAGGAAAGAGAGTTTGGAGTATTTATTTCACCAGCAACCTCCCTGCCAGTAGGAAACTTAGCAATGTCTTCTCACTTCTACAAAAAGCCACAGCTCTTGAAAGGTAGTTACTGTTTACAGCTGGAACTCTTGCTTCATTCTACTAATGACCTGTTGCCTTTGCCCTTCAGCCATGAGGCACGAAGATTTCTTTTGCAGCTTGTCTATGGATATTTCATCATTTCTTATTGGTTTCCCATGACCTTATCCTTACCTTGGTAAAGATTTCCTTCATTGAACCCTCCCTGACATCTATTGAGTGTGACTTATCTTTCCTACCAGAACCTTGATACCCTTAGTAATGAGTTGAATTATCATTCTTTTATTAGTTAATTCATTGGTGTAACACACAATTGTCAGTGAAAGACTATATTGCAGACTCTTTACTAGAAAATAAAAATAAGAAGAGTACAAATAACAATAGCTAACATTTATTAAGCATATTCCATGTGTCAGATATTTCTCTAAGCATATAATAATATATAACTTAATAAATTATGTCTGTAACCCTATGTGGTATGTCTATTAGTCAGGATAATCTAAGGTATATTACAATAGAAAAGTAAGTTCCACTGGGCATGGTGGCTCATGCCTGCATTCCCAGCACTTTAGGAGGGTGAGGTGGGCAGATCCCTTGAGGTCAGGAGTTTGAGAGCAGCCTGGCCAACATGGTGAAACTCTGTGTCTACTAAAAATACAACAAAATTAGCAAGGAGTGATCTCAGCTATGAGGGAGGCTGAGGCAGGAGGATCGCTTGAACCCAGGAGGTGGAGGTAGCAGTGAGCTGAGATCGCTCCACTGCACTCCAGCCTGGGCAACAGAGCAAGATTACATCTCAAAAACATAAATAAATAAATAAATAAATAAATAAATAAATAAGTTCCAAGTCTCAGACACTTTATCACAACAAAGTTTATTTCTTAGGAACATTATAATTAGCTTTTAAGCAAAGGTTCTCCAAACACAGAGGTGTGTACCTCTTGTACAGCATACACACACGCAAATTCGTACACACACAGACTCTTACATCATAAGCATGAGCTGTACTTTTAGTCAAATTTTTAGTTTATCTTTTAAAAGTAAAGGTGAAACATGACCAAATAAATTACAGATAATTATTTTTTAATCACAAGGATTTTTCTATACATACTCGGAAAGAATAGACTCATAGTTGCAATGTATGCAATATACCCACAAGACTGCATGGCATAGCGCCTATGCTTGAATTTGTGTATTAAAATATCTGAGTTAATTATCACTGACCTTAAGGCAAATCTTCAAAATAAAAAAATGTAGCCATACCTCCAGGTAGCATTGGCATTAATTTAATAATATTCTTTCCTCACCACATTAGGTTGATTTAAGATAGGAAATAAAATATAGCCTAAGGCAAATACCTAAAGTCAGTCTTGTGAATAATCCACCCTCAGAGCTCATAAGACACAGGAGATTGAACAGGGAACATACTAGAAGTGGACACTGTTAATAAAAGTTTTTTAAAAGGGACTCTGGCTCAAGTAGACTAAAATATAGCCATGGAATAGGAATTGAAAATGTTCACACGAAAATAATTTGCTCATCTGAAACTTCTAGATCCAATGAAAATAAATATTACCAGATTTGAGAAACAAAATAAAATAACAGTAATTCTGAGGAAAAGCAATTTTGTCTGTAATATTTCTGGAAGCCATTCAAGTAGCTAAAGGAATTTTACATATGTGCTATGAAATGGCCACTAATTTACCCATTTTACTACTTCATAAAATGACATTTTAAAAAGTAATCAATACTGTTAATTAGAATTTTGATGCATGACATCAAATTCCATTGTTTGGAAAAGTAGTTGGAAAATTCACCAAAGAAATTCTAGCTGAAAAATAATAATTCCATTTTATTTTTTGGGATAGGTACAGATGCAGTTCAATCTCCTTTACGATAAGAAACGGTTAACATGTGCTTTTATTTTCAGGGTTAAGTGAGGAGTTAAGAACAGTGACTTTTATCTAGAGCTACTCAATATGGATTACTTTGTATTATTACTACCAGAACCACTACCATCATCACCGTCATCATCATCATTCTCACCACCTAATCATAGTGTCAGCAAAACATTTCTTAGAAAACAAGAAATAAAGCATCACCAGTATCTTACTTCCTATTTGGAAATGGTGCTGAGTGAGTTGCTGTAAATCATCATCTTTATTAACAATACAAAAAAATAGCTACCTCATTTTCTTCAGTTCAAAAATCACATGTGGCCATTGATCAGTGGAGCCTTTTAGAATTTGGTATGAAGGTAATTTGTTTTGCAAACTCCAATGGTTCCAAGCCACTCTGTCTTGTCCCTGGGGTTTCATCCCCCTGGACTCGCTTCTCCCCTCAGCTTTGCCTCCTAAATTTCTATCCATTCTCAGCATGCAGATTACATGCAATTTCTAGGTATCCCTTTCACACTTCCTAAGGGTCATTCCCCTACACATGACTATAACTGACTATACTTCCTTCCAATCCAATGTCTAATATTGTGCATTTAAAATGTGTCTATGTATTAGTTTGCCCCAATATCCTTTTGAAAAAATATCCATACTTTAAAAAGATGAAGGGGCGGCTGGGTGCCCTGGCTCATGCCTATAATCCCAGCACTTTGGGAGGCTGAGGTGATAGAATTGCCTGAGCTCAGTCAGGAGTTTGAGATCAGCCCAGGAAACATTGTAAAACCTTGTCTCTACAAAAAAAAAAAAAAAAAAAAAAAAAAATACAAAAATTAGCCTGGCATAGTGGCATGCACCTGTGACCCCAGCTACTTGGGAGGCTGATGTGGGAAGACCTCCTGAGACTGGGAGGGAGGCAGAGCTTGCAGTGAGCTGTGATTGCGCCACTGCACTCTAGCCTGGGTGACAGTGAGACCCTTTCTCAAAAATAAAATTAAAATTAATAAAAAAAAAGATGAAGGAGATTTCTTTTTGCCTCTCTATCCCTAACACATAATTTTTAAACAAGCACATTAAATATTCCTTGTGGCAATTTTAATAAATGTCTAAGTATGAACACAAGGTGAAGCTCATTCATACTACGTTCTAGTTGAAGACAAAATGTTCTTTCCTTAGATACCACATATATTTATTTTTTTCACAAAAAAATAGTTTAAAACATTAAGAACATAAAGCAAATGCTGTTCCCAAATGCCACCCCTGCACCTTAAATTATTTGTCATGTCCTAATGCTTACATTTCTGAAGTCTCTTACATTTACACCCTCCTCTCCATCTTCACTGGACAAATGTGGTTAAAGATCTCATAAACAGTTTTCTTTCTTCCCTAAAAAGCTTTCCAATTAGTCTCCTGCAAGCTTAAATTTTCTCTTTTTTAATTCCACTGCCTGAGTGATTTTTCAAAATAATGAAATAATTCTGTCACTCCCAGAATCAAAGAGATCCAGTAAAACCTCATTGACTTTGGGGTAAAGTCCAAAGCCCTTAGAGTCTCAATAACTTTCTAACCAAAACATCAACAATTCTTTTCAATAATCCAAAACCTGGTCATTGGACAGGCACTGGGCAAGGCATTTTACATGTATTTTCTTATTAATTGTCACAACCACCAGATGGAGCAGATTTAATTGTTATCCTGGAAATGTCTCTTTGCCACAAATGTGTCATTGAAGATGTCCAATTATTTTCCATTTGTGGAGTAACTCTTTTGATTATTTCATGAATGATATAGAATTTGAAAGCTTCTTTTTTCAAAATAATTAATTTCAACTAGTAATATGTTGTCTCTTTTATCTAAAGCTTAAAAATTTTCTCTTCAGTATTTCATTTTATGATGTAAAAGCTTTCCTCATAAATGTGTATATGTGTGTGTGTGTTTTGTGTGTGTGTAGCGAGAGAGATAGAGTATATATCTCTCTACCATGCCTGTTTTGTCTCACGTTGTTATACTTTTGTAATTTTCTTTAATATTCACTGGCAAGTTCATTTATTTTCATATACTGGTTAGAATTTCTTCACATCCAATCTGGCTATCCATGCTGCTAGTATGTCATTTCATTGATGATCACCTATGTGATGGTAGTAGTTGTTGTTGTTGTTATTTTGTTGTTGTTTTTATTTTGTTGTTGTTGTTGTTGTTGTTTTTCCTAAGAACACTTTCTGAATCTGTTTATCATCTTTTAGCATTCCTTTCAGACATCTCTGCTCTTTTTTTTTGAACAAATGTGGCATCCTCTTTAATCTTGCTGATGATACAAATTTGTAGGGAGTCTTAATTTTTTAATTCATCTGTTCTTCAGCTACTCCATTTCTGAAATGAGTGTTAATACTGACTTTTGCATTTGGTGTTTTTTGAAGGAAAATCATTCCATTTCACCGGTCCTTGTGGAGGGACAGAGCGGGGTGTCCCATCTCCCATGCTGTTGACATTGGAGCTGGGTAATTCTTTGCTGTGGCGGCTGTCCGGTGCACTGCAGGATGTTTAGCAGCATCGTCGGCCTCAAATCATTAGATGCCGGTAGTGGTCCCCCAAACATACATGCAAATATATCTCTAGATGTTGCCTGCAGTTGAGAACCTGTATTATTTAAACAAGTGCATCATCCTCTTTAATCTTGCTGATGATACAAATTTGTAGTGAGTCTTAATTTTTTAATTCACCTGTTCTTCAGTTACTCCATTTCTGAAATAAAAGTTAATACTGACTTTTGCAATTAATGTTTGTTGACTCTCCCCAGTTCTTAACCATAGCCTTATTAAGGTAATTTTTGATGCGTTTGAAAGAAAAATATGGATTTAAAATGTTAACACCCATGTTTTGAGGGATCCGAAGGCAGAAATGTTCTTTCTCAACCATACAGTGGCATGGCATACCAGACTCCCAGCCCAGAGGTCTGAGACTTGGAGGTCCTTTGGCCATGTTTCATAAAAAGATGGCATTTCATTTTCCATATATCTGACATAATTGGTTTTGAAACTGACTTCCATCCCCCCAGCAATCTCCTTCCTTTAAACTGCTGTATTTGTGCGTATAACTACTCTGTTTTCATTCGCAATGAAGCACTTTTCTTTTTGGCCAATATCATAATTGAGATAATGTACATTAGAGATTATGTGCTTCTCAGTTTAAATATATTGACTCCTTTTGAAGGCAAAAGAGCAATGTTTCGGTTGACTACAGTATTTCTCACCACTGGAGTTTCAGAAGACCGTGGATGTGAGTGGTAGTTGGCAGAACCAAATATCATATCACATGTTGTTTTCTTTCAGATTCCTGTGGTACTATGACATGTTCGCATTTAAACTAATTCATTGAAAGTCAATTCTCCCAAAATTGAGTCTGTTTAAAGATTTAGTTCCCTGATAACTAGTCTCCCTAAAATCTAACACTTCAGAACATGTGAACACCCATCATGAAAAATGATTGTTTTATAGTTTGTGGATGTGCTTTTAATGTTTTATTCACCTTTGAATCTTTTCAGGAATTTTTAATCAGTTGATTAAAAAAATATTTTTCTTCATAATATCATGTTCTCATTTTATATTTATCTGGCAGTGATGTTTTGAGATATTATTTTGTGTTTATGATCTAGAATTGTTTTATTCAAATTAAAAATCCTAAAAATAAAATTAAGTTTAATAAAACTACGGCCTAGACATTGCATTTATTAATTTCTATCAACAAACTATCAATGCCTCATAGAAGCCCCTGAAAATTTAACAAACACATAAATTGAAAGTAGTTACAGGAGGAAAAAAATAATAGCAAAAGGAGGCTATAAATTCAGAAAAGACATAATTCTAGTTAAAATTCTTGGATGTATTATCTTCTGTTTCTAAAAAATTATTTTATAGGTATGAACTATTCAAAGAACATTATTTTATAATCAACAAGGGAGCAGTGAAATACTTTTTTGCGATCCCAATGGAAGGTTATTATGAAGAGATTAAATCTTCTTTTCAATGGCCACATAATGCCATGAACATTGCATTTAGACCTCTTAGTACCCTCTATACACTGTGATTCAGGATATAGTAGTGCCCAAAGCATGAGAACATTATCATAATTTGCCCTCAGGGAACCCAAAGATGGTCCAGCAGTGAGGAAAGCTATACAATCATCTGCAAATGGCAGGTCAGTCATCAGAGTGCAAGACAGTGAAACAGAGCTGTGAAAAATATAAGGAACATCATAGGAAAATTGAATCAAAAGAGACAAAATGACTTCATAAAAGTTATGAAAAATGGCTAAAGCAATTGTGAAGTATAGTAAGGAAGAGGGATTTGGTCACATAAAAAGAAGGAGATTTCAGGATTGACAGTGAAACTATAATAATTTAGACCCTACTGAACAGGCACAGGGATGATACTACAGGCAACGTGACATACACCAGGGTCCCAGATATATACTGAGTCATGAGCACCTGTGCAAATTCTTCACCCACCTTGAAGCCCACTCCTTCACCATCTCCTTTGCTGAATTCTTCTCCTCTTGTTAAGCTCTAAATGTTAGATTTTCCAAGCCTTTAACGCCTGGACCTCTTTTGTGCTTTATCTATAATTACTCCCTGGACCTTACAGTCCTCTTGCTTTAGATTCCATTTCCATGCTAATGCATTTCTCCCTTATAACTCAGATCCTGCTGTTCCCCTCAGCTCCAGACTCCCAGATCCAGCTACCTACTCTAGTCTCTTTTTGTATATCTAATAAAGATATAAAAGACATCCAAATAAACTCCGATCTCCACCTGCACACTCTTTTCTTACCCCCATATTTTCCCTTCACAGTTAATGGTCATATTATTCATCCACATGCACAAGCCCAAATCCCTAGAAATTTTTCCTTAGTATGGAATTATAAGCAGTAGCTAAATTTAATGAGTTAGATCAATTTACATCAACATGTAACGAACTTAAATAAATAATTTGGATTTTAAAAACACAGAAGGATTTGTATAACATGCTACCATAGATATGATTTTTAAATGCACTTTTAATAAGATAATATTTATGAATATTAATGCAGTTAAAAACTACAATTTTGACTTTGTTATTTTCTCCACAGAGAGATAATTTTGAGGTTGGCTTTTAAGGAAAACTTTATATGTATCTATGGTTTTACTTCTTAAGAACTGTCTAGATCAAATACGGCAAAATGTAATTATATATGCAGCTCACATGGATGTAATGTTACTTTCTGTTCTTTTATTTAGCTTTAACTAATATAAAGCATGATGTAAATCAAGATTGAGGAGAAAAGAAAGGGCACTGTCACAGCAATCCCATTCTCTGGGTCTTATAAGGTCTTCTAAGGAATGAACTTTGTAGAACTAAAAGGTTTGCTGAGGGCAGACAAATAAGCCCAGAATGGCATCACTTGTTTATTTAATGGGCTGCAATGTTATAAATATTTCATTGAGCAACACTCAGGGAGGAATTGTTCTGAATGCACAATAAAACTCAAACAAGAAATACTATGCAGGAAAGCACTGTGCTAGGCAAGCCAATCTCTACCACATATGAGCAATATATCAAGGGTAGCTAAGGCAGTGGGCAGTATGCTGCAGAGGAAAAAATGTGAGCTGTAAGGCTAGATAAATGTGCATATGTATCCTTTAGTTTGCTCACGGGTAAGTCATTTTACTGTTTTAACCCTCAGGACTTGAATTTATTGGGCACTTGCAAATTTTACATCAGTGTAGTACCTGCATAATCACAGATGGTCAAAAAATGCTAAGATTTGTTTTTGTTGTTTTTGTTAATTTTCTGCAAACGCAGTTCCATCCACACTATTTCATTCACTAAATGACACTGAGATATTATTAATTTGAAATGACGGTATGCAATAGTTAACTCACTAGTTTATCTTCTTATTAAATACAACTGTGCTGTATTTAATAAGCAGCATCTATCCAGTATTATTGTCATAAAATTTGCATTCATGCTTTAGCAATTGCCCTTGTAACATATAACTCTTCTAGGCAGAAATATATCTGGCTAAGGCAGCTCTCAAATAGGATAACGTTTAGTTGGTGCTCTCACTTTGGCCACCATCTCTGGATGGGCCTGTATTTAGCGAGGTATTTATCTTAACTCTTGGAGGTGTTAGGAATATGACAGGAGAAGTTTGTGCTACTGAAAGAAATTAATATACACATTATTATAGACCTGTTTAAAATACATATATATATAATAATTGCAAAGGCTGTTTGTCAGGAATCAGTGACAAACTTCTTGATTAGTACATTAATCAAGGCAATTAACGTTAGCTGATGTAAAAATAAAAAAAATCTCAGTAGCTTAATACAGCAAAATTTATATCTCATTCACCTTATATCCAGTATGGATTGGCACCCTCAGTGGGTGACCATGAGATGCAGGTAATAATGGTTCCCTGCTCATCTTATCCCCTGGATGTTTCTCCAACACCTGTTCATTTCCTAGTCTTGCCCACATCTCTGTATCTGATCCTTCATTAAATTTTCATCAACTGAAGTTGGAGATACTCTCAATGACCCATTAAATATAGCAGACTACCTCACGTTAACTTACACACCACTGTCCAAAACATATTCAGATGGCCCAACCTAACACACAGGCTCAAGCTGTAATTTTTCTGTCCTCCCAGGAAGAGGCAATTGGTTGGTGAGCATCTAGACTGTTTCTGCTTTTCCAAAGCGTCTTCCTGAGGACATTGGTATTCTATCATATTAAAATAATTTAATTACTTAATAAATGTGTTGGTGATGAAACACATTTGAGAAATGCTGAGCTAAAGAAGCTGGAAGTGTTTATAATATTTTAATCATACACGTACAAGCATGTAATGTTGTAATGTGCAAGAGTCAGTCTCCTAGATTGAAATATTGTCTGCAGAATTTTCCCTTTGGAAATACATATTTTTTTATGAAGCACATGATGTGAGTGGAGTTATTTCCTGGGAAGTCAGTTTGGGAAATACTATTGAAGTTATTTCTCAATAAGCAGCTGGTGGGTCCATCAGTGAATTTGCCAAGGAATAGTTTCTGAATTTATCAAAATAGATTCCACTTTTACCAAACTCTGCTTAATTTCCTCTGCATGCCCTGTGCTCTTCTTTCGTTACATCATCTTCACTGGTGCACATTGCTGTATTTTGCAGCATGTGCAGAATTAATTTTTAATTCCTATATTTGCAACTTCTTCTATTTACAATCAACACCCTCGTTAACAATTCTAATACATATTTGGATTCATTCAATATGCTCGTAAATCTTGCCTCTCTGCTTCAATTGTTAATTCATCATTTGTAGGCCACCAAAACTACTAAGAGAATAGAGTGAATATCATAATTTTAAAACAATGTCTGTGTTTAACCAAATATTACCTGGGAAGATCACTTCCTTCAGAGGCTTTTCTAATAGTTCAGAAAGTCAAGATTCAGAGTCATGAACAGCATCGCAATAACAACCACATTTTAAAAATAGTTATTTGCATACGGTATACTTATATCATCGCACATGTATCGTCTCAGTTAATATCCCAAAGAACTGTATAAAGTAGGTTGTAGTATTGCCTTCATTTTACAGAGTCACTAATCAAAGCTTACTGATATTGAAGAAACTGTCCTAGTAACACAGCTAATTAATGGCATACTGGGGATTTAACCAAGGTAAATGATCCCCTATCACAATACTATTATGGGAGAGGGATGGATTCATGCAGTCTGGAGAACATAGGAAAATTTTTAAAAAATAAAATAAAAACTGGCCTGGGTGACATAGCAAGATCCCATCTTTACAAAAGAAAAAAAAATAGCTAGTGTGGCAAACACCTGTAGTCCCAGCTACCCGGGAGGCTGAGGCAGGAGGATCACTTGAGCCCAGGAGTTCAAGGCTGCAGTGAGCCATGATGATACCACTGCACTCCAGTCTGGGCAACAGAATGAGACTTCATCTCTTAAAAAAAGAAAAATAAATAAAATGAAACACTGGAGAAAGTCTTGATATGTTGGAATGCAAATGATAGTATATATATATAAAAAAAAAGACAAATTGAAAGTAAATAAACCAATCCAATAGAAAAAATTAAAACTTTAACATTATGTAAGTAATGTTCTCAGGGAAACAGAGGAAAAACCAAGCAGCTATGTAAAAAAAGAACCAAGTAGAGACACAGAGTTGGATAAATATAAACATCAAAATAAAGTGCTCAGACTATGAGTTAAATAGCAAAATATTTTGGCTGAAATAAAATTAGTGAGGTAGTAGACAAGGTTAAGAATTCTATCAGAAATCATCAGTAATGGGTAAAGGACAAAGATAGGAAAGCTCCAAGCTGGAGGAGATGGAAGTAGAAGTATCTTATGTATTTTAAGGTAATTATAGAATGGGTAAAATATATGAAAAATTAAACTGAGGAGGCAGGTAAAGTTCAAATAGAAAAAATAAAGGAGTAAAACTACATATAATTAAATTTTAAAATATAGAATTTCAGAGAAAAGGGATATCACAAACATGGTTTAAAAATTACTAAAAGCTTAGAGTAGACACTGAGACAAATATCTCAGTACAAGTAGTATACATGGGAAGGATGCATGGAAACAGGGAAGTGAGACAAGGAAGAGGGGAATGCAACAAAGATGACTTACATTACAACAATTTTCTTATAAAGTTACATATGAACTAACTCATAAGGTTACATATAAATTGCCTTAGCAATTTATTCACAACAAATGAAAACATCTGCCCACAAAAATATTTTTTTCAGGAATGAATATTAATAGCAGCCTTTTTCATAACTGCCAAAACAGAATAACTAAAAGTCCCAACAGAAGGAAGGAACAATTGTGGTCTATCAAACAATGGATCAAAAGATGGTAAGCTGCTGATACACACGACAGTATAGAAAGATGTCAGGGATGTTATGCTGAGGTAAAGGAGTCACGTACAAAAGAGTGAAATTTCACTCATGCAATTCAAGATAAAACTAATTTATGGTAATAAGAAATGTAACTGTGAATGGCTCTGGTAAGAATTAGATGGTGACTGAGTGGAAATGAACACAAGACTTCTCTAGGCTAATGGAAGTAGACTACGTATCCATCTTGTATGTAACTGTAGAATTGCCTATAAGAAAATGCATCAAGTTCTTAAACAGGGGAGGAGCCCTAGTGCTGCGGATGCAACAGCATGCAGTTCTGCCAGCCTGGGAATGGCCCACAGACACAAGTGTGAGCACACATCAGTCAGGACCTGAATAAGGGCCTGGGGAGGTGGAGCAGGAAAGCCACAACCTTGAGAGGCAGTCACTTCAGTTAGATTCTTACCTGGGTCAGTTTTTAGCTAGGTTACCTTGGGTACATTGCAACATTTAACTTTCCCAAGAATTAATTTTCTAATCTTAATTTATCTCTTAAAATTGATTATATATGTGTATACACACACACTTACATGTATATATGTCCACACACAGGATTATTCTGAGAAGTAAAAATGATGTGTATATAAATCACATAGCACAAAATATCAAGTAGAACAAAAGCTGAGAATAGCCAGTGTTCTCCATGTACCAACACTGTTTAAGGATTTTTGTGGTGTTAACACGTTTAATCATCATAACAACTTGATGAGGATGTGATAGTTCCATAGGAAAACATTATTTCACATAATTCTATTTCCTCTCTACATACATTTCTATATATTCAATATAGTATTCTATACGGTACCTTAAGAACTATTATTTTCCTATTTTACAGAAGAAACAGAGTCAAAGAATTGAGATATTGGCCCACAGGCATGCATACCAGGTTTATCTCGAAGCTGGGATTGATCTCAGGCCGTTTGTAATATCTGTGCTGTGAACAATTGCTATAGAAAGAGAACAATTTTTTAAGTCACTGTGGGACCACAGCAGCGGGGGCAGGGGGACTTTATTCTGCAAAGGGAGGTGAAACAAAGTTTCAGACAGAAAGTGGCATGAGCATGTTTTTAATAGCAAGTTTAATTATCAAATTAAATATTAGGTTGGTGCAAAAGTAATTGCGGTTTCAGATCATAAATTTAAATCTTATAACTATGCTCAAACACATCTTTATTAATCAAAATGAGAACCATTACAATCAACACATTTTTGCCAACGAGAAATGTTTGTTTCTTCCTGCAGCATAAAAATCCATGTTTCTGGATTCGATGAACTCTTGGAAAGCATTTTCTGCATCCTGCCGGCTTTGGAAGCATTTTCCCTGCAAAATGCTGTGGAATCGGTAGTCAGTGGGTGAGAGGTCAAGTGAATATGGTGGATGAGGCAAAACTTCATAGCCCAATTTGTTCAACTTTTAAAGTGTTGGTTGTGCGATGGGTGGTCTAGTGTTGTCATGGAGAAGAGTGCCTTTCAAGGGTGTGGCTTTCCCGTTCCACCTCCGCAGGCCTTTATGCAGGTCCTGACTGATATGTGCTCACACTTGTGTCTGTGAATGGCTCTGGTAAGAATTAGATGGTGACTGAGTGGAAACAGACCCGAGACTTCTCTAGGCTAAAGGAAGCAGACTATGTATCCATCTTGTTTGTAACTGCAGAATTGCCTATACATCTAGTGTTGTCTAGTGTTGTCATGGCTGCAGTCTTTGCAGTTTTCAGTGCATCTCATCCATTTGCTGAGCATACTTCTCTGATGTAATGGTTTCGCTGGGGTTCAGAAAGCTGTAGTGGATCAGACTGGCAGCAGGCCACCAAACAGTGACCATGACCTTTTTTTGGTGCAAGTTTAGCTTTGGGACTTCTTCTAGGTCCATCTACTGAGCTGGTAATTGTTGGTTGTCGTGCAAAATCCACTTTTTGTCCCACGAAATAATCTGAGAAATAGTTCGTTGTTTATGTGTACAATAAGAAAAGACGACACTTGAAAATGATGTTTTTCTTTAATTTTTCTCAGCTCATGAGGCACCCAACTTATCGAGCTTTTTCACCTTTCCTGTTTGCTTCAAATGCGGAACAACCCTAGAATGGTCAACGTTAAGTTTTTCCACAACTTCTCCTGCAGTTGTAAGAGAATCAGCTTTGATGATTGCTCTCAATTGGTCGATGTCAACTTTCAATGACCGACCACTGTGCTCCTCATCTTCAAGGCTCTCCTCTCCTTTGCAAAACTTCAAGTACCACTGCACTGTAAGTTCATTAGCAGTTCCTGGGCTGAATGTGTTGTTGATGTTGCGAGTTGTCTGCGCTGCTTTACAACCATTTTGAACTCGAATTGTTTTTTGTTTAACATCATTTCCATAGTCTAAAATAAACATAAAATAAACAGCAAGCAATAAGTCATTAGCAAAAAAATAACATAAAATAAAGCAAGAAATGCCCATTAAAGTGTTGTATGACATAACCACATTTATTTAAGAATGTATTCCAATATCAAACAGCAAATTCCAACAATGCGAAAACCATGATTACTTTTGCACTCAACTAATAAATCATCTTGCTCAATCTCATATACTTAGCATTCTGTAAACCCCGAGGGGCTCCCTGAATAGTCTACAGGGACAGCTGGGAGGAAGGGGGCAGCTAAGTGCAAGCAGTGTGGGTGGCCTGGGTAAGTCCTTCAACCAGAACATTCTCCTTCATGCCTGGCTCATATAAGAGGATTCCCTAGAAGATTCACTTTGAAAAATGGATTCCAATTTCATTTCAAAATAATGTTTGAAACCCACAACCATTTTATGATGAAATAGTATAACCTCATTATTTTCACTCTCTGAATTAAGACAACTTGGATGAAATTAAAATCCAAGTGTTTTTATTCTAATTTTCTTGAGTGGACTATTTTAAAATATGTCTCTTTAAAATGTTTAATTTCTGCTTATCTTTCCAATTGTATAACAAATAGCAAAAATATAGAGTATACCTGTGATTTAGAGTAATATTCAGTTTATGTTACCTGTTTACCTTTTTTTTTTTTCTTTTTGAGACAGAGTTTCTCTCTTGTTGCCCAGGCTGGAGTGCAGTGCTGCTATCTCGGCTCACTGCAATCTCCGCCTCCCGGGTCCAAGTGATTCTCCTGCTTGAGCCTCTAGAGTAGGTGGGATTACAGGCATGCGCCACCACACCTGGCTAATTTTTGTATTTTTAATAGAGACAAGGTTTCACCATGTTAGTCAGGCTAGTTTCAAACTCCTGACCTCAGGTGATCCACCCACCTCTGCCTTCCAAAGTGCTGGGATTACAGGCATGAGCCAGGATGCCTGGCCACATTTAATTCAGAATATTTTTATAATGATGAATGGTATCTCAGGCAACTAAATGCAAGAGGGTGAGAAAGGTACTTAGCATTATAATGTTTATAAAATAAATTTATTTCTCTTTATTTGAATATCTCATTTGAATCAATGAAATGTTTTTACTTGATTTCAACTTAAAATTTACATCAAATTTTAGTGCGTGAAATCTGCATTTATATTTCATATGTTAGAAAACCAGAACAAGAAAATATTTGACTAAATTTAAGGTTAAACATATGACTTAATCAGCTACTGCTATTGTACAACAAACCCTAGTTTCTAAATCTGAAACAACATATTGAAATTGACATCTTTATTCCCATTTTAAGGATGAGAAAATGAAAGCTCACTTACAGTGATTTCCCTCAGTAACCCTGTAAGGTGATAAAACCAGGATTCAAAACTCTTTATTTATTTGAACTTAAAGACAATTTTCTTCCCAGTACACAATTCTACTTTTTATTTTCAAATGAAGCTGACATTAACATTCATGTCTGGCTTTGAATGCACTATTCAGAATACTTTACTATTTAATTAATTTTATCTTAATATATAGTTTGGGGGGCTTCAAGGCTGAGGTTGAAGCAGAGAAAAGTAAAAAAGGAGACAGACAGCCATTTGTTTGAGCATGTGTCATGCCTTCTCCCAAGCTGGTCTAGCTGAGCGGACAATTCACACGGTAACGTAGTCGGTTGGAACATATCCATATTCCACTTCACTCAGCTGCTTTTAAGATACCAACAGTTTACCTGCAGCAACTATAAAAAGCATTCAGTTGAGATGCTGCTGTCATTTCACCTGAATCATCCCAAGTACCACTGACTCTCTGCTGTAGACAGAACTTAATGGTTTAGAAAATCCCAAGCAAGTTAGAAAGTACAGTGTCACATATCCCTGTTTTCAGCCAGGACAGTCAATTGAGACAGCAAGAGATTGGATTTTCTTTCTGGTTGAATTCTTGGTGTTTTTTATTTTAAATACTAATCATGCTTCAAGGCCTAATTCAAAAGTCTCCTTCTTTTTGATGTCCTCCTTGATCCCCTACAGCAGAATTTATAGATCCCTCTGTGTTTTTATAGTTCTTTGTTTATATCTTTATAACAAAAGCTTCAAAGGGAATCCCAAGCCTTTGAGTCAAAGCTGCTGATGGGATTAAGAGAAAAACAGATGGAAAGATGTCTGAGGAGCCCAAGGAGGGAAGATCAGCCTCTTAAAGGAAGCAGTTATGGGGGGAGGATAGGAGTTCTGTGGCTCCAGCTCCTGTCTCTTCCACATGTAGTGGGAATGTTAGAGTAGATGAGCAAGGCAGGAGAGGGCCCCCCCATTCCCAGGAATTTTAGGCAATCATCAGGTGATAGTCAAATGGTTGTTAAACTGTCTCGCTAAAATAATAATTGGTCACAGCCAGCGACAGGGAATGGCAGTCTCCCAGCAGATAGGAAACATCTAAAGCTGGTGATCACCAGCCACCAATAAGATCTAAGGAGATGGGCAAATGGGCTCAAGCATGCAGACTAAGAGGCAAACTGGCAGAGTTGAACTGGTATATGACCTTCCGATAGGAATGCCCCACAGGTAAGGGAAAAAGACCTCAAGTGAGCATGCACACAACCTCAGTAAACACACCGCACATGTGTGGCCTCTCTCAGGTCCTGGTAGGCCACTGTGCAGGCAGAGAGCCCACTCTAAGAGAAGAATGAGGGGAGAAAACAACACAAACCTCAGAACCATGCCAGTGTATAAAACCCCAAGTCAAGGGCCAGATGGGGCACTTGAATCTCTCAAGTCGCTTGCTTGGCCCTCTTCCAAGTGCATTTTTCCTCTTTTTGTTCCTGTTCTAAAACTTTAAAATAAACTCTCACTCCTGCTCTAAAACTTGCCTCAGTCTCTTCCTCTGCATTAAAGCTACTTCTGCCCCTCCACTGAATGATTTCCCCCAAGACGGCAAAAACTGAGTTTGCTGCAGACCCATCAGATTTGCTGCCGATAACAGGTGGTGTAAAAGTGGAATGGCAACAAATTAGAGAAAATGTAGTGGAATACAATTTGGTTTTCACCAAGTAAGCAGTCTATGGCTCTGAGAGGGCTTCCCATCATGTGGAAATGCTGAGAGATGATGCAGGTCGTTGAACCAAACCAGAGGATAAAGATTGATGGTGTGATTTCAGACAGATGGAATGAGGGTGGACCCAATGCCTTCAGAGACAATGGACACACCTGTGGCAAGGGAGCTAAGAGTTCAGCAGGGTAGGAAAGCTCTAGGCAAAGGCAAGAATAAAAGCATTCCCATGTCCTGGAAGCACTATGAAGCGAGGCAGGAACCTGAGATACAAAGGCCAGGAGCCATTTGTTTTGTATCTCAAGAGTAGCCATCCACTCATATATTCCAAGGTAAAGAATTGAGTGGTGTTAACCCTCCAGCCAGGGTGATCTGAGTTACGCAAAAATGACTGAAGTCCATGCTCGAAAAGTGGGTTGATTGTAATTTTGAAAAGTGTAAATAGTGACTATGAACTTTGAAAAAAGTTTGCTCTGGTTTTCGACTACAGCCTTATTATTTCTAGTGGTGTGATCAGAAAATAATGCTTATTTACTTCTCTGGGTTGCTATCTTATTATTTGTAAAGATGGAAGAAAAGTTTGCATTAAGGATTGTTTGTGAATGTAAGATGAAAAAGTATGAGAGCCTGCTGTGCAGAGTTACTAGAGATTGGCAGTCATTTAATAAATGTTAAATTCTTCTTGCTGATCCCTCATATGTTTTGCCTACCTTCCCTTCATTCCTACTGTTTTTTTCTTCTGTACTAATAAGGAAAAAACTATTTCTATTTAGATTTTCATTTTCAAAAATTTTGAACCATCCTCTAACATACAGAAGAGAATATTATATATCAAGTTCTTCCTTATGTAGCACTTGTTTTATTTTAATATACTCGCATTTTTGCTTCAGATCTCTGTAACTTTTACAGTCTTTGCATTTACAACCAAAGCCTCGCCACTGTCCCTTCCTTTTGCTACACCCCAGAGATAGCACTGTCTGGAAATTGCTTTCTACATTTCCTATGCATGTCTTGGTACCTTGTACCATAAACTCCATACCACTGTTCAATGCATTTTAAGTTTTACGTAAGTAACACTGTATACAACAAAATAACACATGCAAACTTTTGTGCTTCCCTTATCTCAGTATTATGTTTTGAGATTTATTTATGTTCATACTTGTAAACCAAACTGATTCATTTTATTTTGGATGTTGTTCTTCATTGTGGGAGACAATTTATGGTTTTCATAGCTACACCAAGAGATATTTTTTTTCTAAATTTTTATTTCTATATAGAGTACTGCACTGAACACTCTTATCATGAATTTTGAGAATGCGTAAGAATTTCTGTATGAACCATTTGAAGTGAAATGATAATGTAACCAAAATGCGAGTGAGTTGCTCCCCACCTGGAGAACTCAATTAACAACAGTGAGATCTGATTCAAAGCAAGTGAATTCATTCCGAAGCTAGCATGGGGAATGGGCACAAAGTGTCCTGCTTTTAAATGTGCCACTTCACCTTTGTGGCAGAAAGTGGACACTTTTATGAGGTAAGGGGGAAGTGATCATGGGAAGGGGTCCTCTTTCTAACTTGGTGCCTTATCTACCAGGCACCTATCTGGGCAGAGATAAGTTGTAAAAGTGGCCAAGCAGGCATGCTTTTGGTATGCCCACCTGGTAGCTGAGAGTTCTGGGCAAACCCTGGAGGGTGGAAGTTCCCTGGCAGGTATGCTTTGGTCTGCAAATCCACTGTCAACTCTCCAGGAGAGATCAATCTTGGAGCATGCAGTTAGGAGAACTTGCCCTGCAAGGAATATCTGCTGAAGGGGAGGTGAAAGGTTATATTTGCATTTCTGAAAGGCTAAGTAGGAAACAGGGAACAGGAGAGTAGCGGAGAGTAGAAGAGAAAATAATAATGAAAAAAATAGTAATTCATCCCCTTTTTCTTAGAAAACATAAGAGCACTTGGTTGCAATAAGGTTAAAGGATTTGCTTATTTTAATTTGCCTGGATATACTCAGTTTTCTCTTCTAAATGCTTGTACAATCTCGGTCAGTTCTGACACATAAAAAGCTTGGCAGTTGTTACTCTAATCCTTACAGAAAAAAAAAGAAAATAAAAGATAAACAAATTGAAAATCGATGACTTTTCTTGGACCTATAAGAGAAGAGCAGGGCAAATGGCCACCCTAAAATCTGAAGAGACCAGCAAATGCGGAGAACCACAGCCAAGGTCAGCTCACCTGGAGCAGAAGCTGCTGGGGCCAGAACTCGTGGGAAACATAAATTGTCATTTTGATGAATAGCTGGAGGATGCGTGTAGGGTAATATAAGAGAGAAACTGCTGGGCCCCCCTCCCCACATTTTTATTTATTTTTACCTCTAGGAACCCCACCAGGTTCTCACAGTAAAAAGCCATAAACAAATAAACAAACTGTCTTGTCTCTGACAGATGGAGGGGGAAAATAACCATTATGAAATATGTCCAGAATGCAAAGCCCTTTACTTGAGAAAACACTTTACTTGAGTTTTACTTCACCGGTGGTAGAGGGAATTGACCCAACTCTGGCCCCCTCTAGCCATTCTTTTTTACCTCCGTGGGGAATAAAAGCTAAGAAACACAGCCCACGGACACAGCCAAGAGACTGAGATTCTGCCATCAGATTGTAGAACACTTACTCTCCCCCACAGGTTACCCTTGTATCTACAGGGATCAGGTATTCATTGC
This sequence comes from Homo sapiens, assembly GCF_000001405.40. Lineage (NCBI taxonomy): Eukaryota > Metazoa > Chordata > Mammalia > Primates > Hominidae > Homo > Homo sapiens. The sequence goes on from NC_000007.14 coordinate 49,285,584, forward strand.
AGTAGATTACAGAAGAAAGAGAAGCAAGATTCAGTTTCCATATGAAGAACTTCTTAGGAAATCACAGTCCAATGATGCTGGCACAACCTTTGGAAAGGAACGGTGCCTAAATGGGCTTAAAAATTTAATACCAATTCTGGTTAAGTTGTATAAAAATGCCTTTTTCCTCTTCCTCTTCACTTTTTCAGATGAACAGTCTAGGGGAAATTAGGGGACGATTGGCAAAGGGTGAAGTTACAGCCACTGAAGTGGGACATCCTAGTTTTGTAGACAGTAACGACCCCAGCACCTGGAGGAGGAAGGCCTTAGACACCAGGACTTACTGAGGAAGGAGGGACATTGGTAATCCACATCTTTAAAATTGCCCTCTGGAGATTTTCTCATAAAGACAATGGCCCTTTCTGCTCTCTGAATTGCTATTAATTCCCTAGATATAGCTGACTGTTGGATGTGCCATGCCCTTGCTGAGAGACAACTCTGACCATGATTTGACTCATATGCCCTTTAACCTTGATGCAAACTCTATTGGAAACAGCAAGGATGGTCCCAACTTCTGCACCTGTAAGCGCCATTGCATGTCTTCCCCATCCCATCCCGAGTGGTCCCTCAGTCATTTTGTGGGTCAAATGAATGCCATGTGGCTAATGACATGGACACATGGACTAGGCGACACTGTCAAGCTGTACCCACCCAAAATAATATAGGTCCCATTTGGGGAGAAAATTGCAAGCAACACTTTTTTTTTCCTAGGAGGCTCATATGCTCCCCGTGACTTTACTCCGTGAGTACAGTTACTTCAGTTGTTAACTTGCCTCCCTTCCAAAAACACAATGAATGGCCCTTAGTGTGGTCATAAGAGATGTGTAAGTTTTTAAGTAAATGCCACCAGTAGGTCACACAGCCCCAGATAACTACAAAGATCTCTCCAAAGTCAGACTCTCCTGGTTACTGAGATTGAGAAGGGCTTCCAGAAACAGAGCCAACTGATGTTTTATGTGGACCATTTGGACAATTTTTTTCTACAATGTGTATCACACAACCACTTGAGCTAAAGTAATTAATGGGACCATTTTGGTCCTGCCAAGCATTCAGGTCAGCCTCACCTCACCAGCCAGAGTGCATGGACTATAGAGTTGCTCTGGACTTTCTCCTTCAAGTCCAAGACAGAGTCTGTGCATCCACTAATACATCCTTACCCCAGACCAAGTGGAATGGTTAACTCCGACATTGAAAACGAAGCCTGTCTGGGTTCCTAATGTAGATCTGCACTATTTTGAGACATTATTAAGCCTGGAGACATAGTTGAGGACAATATTGACATGGGATGGGCTTATTCTGATGCTTGAAATCCTATTACAAATACCCTTAATTAAATACTGTATGAGACACATTAGTCAGACTTGGTCCTAGCCTCTGTTGGTCAGAAAAATCAAAGTGTCAGAGGAAACAATCTTTTATTGAAAAAAATCACCAGAAGACAAGGTGGTGCAAAAATGAGTGGTAAATATTTTGGGGGATGATTCTTCCTGGATCTCTCACATTTTTGTGTGTCTTATGAGCAGAGGAGTTGGTGGCCTTTTGCTCCAGATGATCTGATGATCTTTCCAAGATTTTTCATTTAGTGAATAGCCTTGGAAAAATTGCTCTGGACTTCCAGCAACTGTTTCTGAAGAAGGGAGTAGATGTGCTTCTATCTAGTATAATAAAAACAGTGTGTCCCTCTGGGAAAAAGCTTAGGCAACTGTACTTCATTTGGGTTTCCTATGCTTGAGGTTCATCACCTATGAAAGAAACAGACTCAGTATGTGCACAAAATCCACCCAGGCCATGTCGCCCATGTTTGACTTGGGGGAAAACGGAGCTGACAGGAGCATGGAGCTCAGGTTTCCTGCTGTTTTAACTAGAAAAGCCCTCTGTACCTGATTCAGATGTCTAGTGTCTCCTCTCAGCATTTGTGAAACTGTGGCAGCCTAACTCACTGACTAGGAAGCAGGATAACAATTCAGATCCTCATAATTATTTTCAGAATGTACTGTCACATTTGGAGAAACAGTTGTGGAGCTTAAGGCTTAAGGCAATGGAGCTTTTTACTCACTGCTGCTCAGTGAGTTCCTGGTTCAATCGCCAGTTTAAATGACACTTTCTCTTCATAGCTTTCACCAATTCCCCTTACTGCCCACATATCATGGAGTTAACTTTGCCTCCATTTCTAGTCCATTATATCACTTACAGAAAGTAGCAATATGTATTTTTCTATTTTATAGTTAATGACGTCATTTAGTTTTGTGGCTTTAAGTGACAACTGTTTTTTTATTTAAAACAAGAAAACATGTTTTATGCATTTTTCTATAGTTAATATTAAGCAAAGTGCATGGTACAGAGAGAGAATTTCATATTCTAATCCAAAAATGAATGAATAATATAGCAAATATTATCTGATTTCCTTTTATATGTGGGGACTGTACTAAGCTAAATTTAGGCTAAGTAAAATTTAGAATATGCCAATGAAAAATACATTGTGCCTCTCTTCAAGAATAACTTTTAAAAGGTAGATGGGGGCTGGGGGTGGTGGCTCACGCCTGTAATCCCAGCACTTTGGGAGGCTGAGGCGGGTGGATCACGAGATCAGGAGATCGAGACCATCCTGGCTAATACAGCAAAAACCCGTCTCTACTGAAAATACAACAAAAAAATTAGCCAGGCGTGGTGGTGGGCGCCTGTAGTCCCAGCTACTTGGGAGGCTGAGGCAGGAGAATGGCGTGAACCCAGGAGGCGGAGCTTGCAGTGAGCCGAGATCACTCCACTGCGCTCCAGCCTGGGCAACAGAGTGTGAGACTCCATCTGAAAGGAAAAAAAAAAAAAAAAAAAAAAAAGGTGGATGGGTCAGACCTCTGTAAATCAAGGGAAAAGCATATGAAAGGTAAAATAATTCTTGTTGGAAAACACAGAAGTGAAAGACATGAGGTGGAAAGGTAGTCAACATTTTAACTCAGAAAGTCTAACATGTCTTATCCTGGAGTTTGAGCTTCTTGTTTTAGGTGATTTAAGACAGCAGACATTTAAAAATGACATGGTATAGTACAAAGAATATATGATTATATGCTGTTCACACATCAGGTGGTCTAAATTATTTTGTTTTCTGTGCTTTATTGCCTGACATATGGAATGCAAAATTGGTGTGGAAGGTGGAAAAAAATTTAAATGAACCTTATATTTATGTATAAACATAATCACACCTAAGAACAGCTTACTTAGTTTAAGCAATGCTAGCATACATAGAATCATTATTTCTACAAGAGAAGGGTCAGGATATGTGGTGGTTTCATGGAAGGGGAGCCCTAAAGGAAGAGATATAAACACCTGTACTATAGTCCAGTGCCCTGGGAAATAAGGGAGAACTCTACCCTGAAACCAAATGCTTCCATGCTTACCTGTCCTCAACCACCATCAGCCCCATGTAGATTTTTATACTAAAGTATCAGGTGTAGGATCAATAATCATGAATTCTGAAGTCAGGAAGGCCTTAATGTGCATTCTAAGTTTGTCACATAGATTGGTTGTTTTTCTCATCTTTAAAATGGGAATAATAATATCTACCCCATAAGAAAGTAATGCTAATTAAGTGAAGAAAGATATGAAAGCACATATTAAATTGCAACATGCTTTAAAATGTCATCTATTTTTAATTGCTATTAAATGTATTAATATCTTTAGCTTTCTGCTTAAATGTTGCTAAGTGGTAAGCTTCAAAGTCGGGAACTTTTGGAATGTTTCTCATTTTGAGTGAAGACTGACGTAGTAAGTCTGTCTTTGAACATCTAGTCCTGATTCATTTAGTCATTCATTCATTCAACCATTCATAAATTTACTCAACAAGTATTTATTGACAAATTTATCATTCATCAAGTACAGCAAAGAATAGTGAGATACAAGACAAAATTCATATTCCCGCAGTAATGAAAAAGTATGGGTATGGTATGGGGTAGCAGATACTGAAATATGTGTGCATAGATGATGGCTTATTTCCATGTATGGTAAAGCCTAGAAAATAACAAATAATGTTCACACTCTCTTGGGTTTCTGTGAGAGTACAAGCTTCACCATCTTCAACTCCTGAAAGCCCAGCATCTGTCACCACAAAATTTGACATGCTTGCTTTGTGGCCAGACCCTCTAGAAAACCTCACTCATTTCTGTATGTTGGCAAAATTTAGCAATCTTTGATTTATCGACCCCTCCACAGCAGTGTACCTCTAAATCCTGTCTTGCTGGGGCCCTGGGCAAAGCAGTCAGGCAGAGTGTTTTTACCCTCTTTCTCAGGCTGATGTCCTTTTGAAGATCCCCTATGTTGAGATCTCTGCACACAACCCTCTGGGATGCTACCCTGGATCTGAGATGCCCCACAAGTGCTGGACTCAACCAGCTCTGCTATTGGATTCCATAGTCATGGACCATGGCATGGGATGTTGGAGGTTTACTTTGAGAATTAATCCTTCATGATAAAGCCCCTTTTTTGCTCAGGTTCCCTTAGCTAAGTCCTGATATATATCTATTCTGGCTTCTCCTGAGCCTCTTGGTCGGGTATCTCAGCACACCTGATGGTGGGAGCTGTGGCAGTTAAGACCATGCTTCAAACTTTTATAAAAATCCATGAGCTTCTAAATGAATGGCCTTTATGTAGCATGTTTAAAAGCATTCACAGTTGTTTTTTAAACACTTACTTAAGTTTTGATTCTAAGTGCTTTCTCCTAAATAGAAATTATAGGATCAAGCTGGGGGTGGTGACACGTGCTTTTAATCCCAGCTACTCAGGAGGCTGAGGCAGGAGGATCACTTGAACCCATGAGTTTGAGGCTGCAGTGAGCTATGATTGCATCACTGCAAGCCAGACTGGGTGGCAGAATGAGATCCCATTTCTTCAGAAAAAGAGAGAAAGAAATTATAAGATCCACTCTAACTTGTGAAAAACGCAGCCCTGACAGAAAAGAGAATCCTAGTATGACATATTAGAGGTCTTCCTTGAAAGATTATTCAAATTGTGGTTGCATCTTCTGTTTTCCCTGCTTTTCCTTTATCACAGGAAGAAAGAACATTTTTGTTAAAAGTTATTGATTGATAAACACACAAAAATACATTAGTGATTTAAACAAGCCATTTGTTTCTGTGGATAATAAATATAAAAAAATCTAATTCAGTTTCTAAAAATTTATCATGTTTATTCCATTGTAGAAGAAACCACGAAAATATAGCATTTGGTATCAGTAAATTATACTCTTAGTGAAGCCTGTCTCTATTCATCAGACTCCCTGCACACAGAAATCTAGTTTTTATGTGAATTTGTACAGCCTTTCCTCTGAAGCTATGTTATTGATTGAATTATAGGCTGTACAGAGCCTTGGAGCTCACATACGCTGAACTCTTTATTTTGCAAATGATGCTATTGAGGTCTAGAGATGTTAAATGGCTGCCCAAGATTACATACCTGACTGCAATGTTGCCCCTACACCACGGCTTTAAGACTGATTTGTGAGTGTCTGCAGATTCCCAAGTGAGAGAAGCATGTGCCATACTACAGATGTTCTTACCCCTATACCTCCCCACTCTGTTACATATGAAATACTCTAGAGGAATCACGGAATCAGAAGACTTGAGTTCAAAATATTGGAGAGCCTTGTGACCTTTTAAACTTTAGTTGTTTAAGCTCTATAAGCATTAGTTTTTCAAATTGTAAAATGAAGAGACTTATGCAAAACTCAGATAGAAGAGGGAAGGTTAAACTCTAATTTATATGGCAAGCCAGGACAGTGCACAGCAAACACCAAGAAACCAATCCATGCTATTCTGATTCATTTTTGTGAAATGGCTTGAAAATTGTACCAGTCCATGAAAATTCAAATATTATACATTATGTATTTGTAATAAAGTAGCTGTTCTTATTTAAATATTTCTCATTTATGATCAGGTCTTATTAATAGAAATAAGTGCCTCTTACATGCTCTATTTTTGAGAACTTTTCTGTGAACTAAACCCCTCTTATGTCAACATAGCGGAGCCCTTCCTGCCACTAAATAAGCCATTAATGGCTACCTCTTTAACATACTGTATTAGGGCTCTCTAGAGGGACAGGACTAACAGGTTAGATGTATATATGAAAGGAAGTTTATTAGGAGTATTGACTCACATGATCACAAGGTGAAGTCCCACAATAGGCTGTCTGCAAGCTGAGGAGCCAGGAAGCCAGCCTGAGTCTCAAGACCTCAAAAGCAAGGAAGCCAACAGTGCAGCCTTCAGTCTGTGGCCAAAAACCCAAGAGCCCCTGTTAAACCACTTGCGTAAGTCCAGGAGTCCTAAAGCTGAAGAACTTGGGAGTCTGATGTTCGCAGGCAGGAACTATCCAGCACGAGAGGGAGATGAAGGCTGGCAGACTCAGGAAGTCAAGTCCTTCCACATTCTTCAGTCTGCTGTATTCTATCTGAGATTGCAGCTGATTAGATGGTGCCCACCCAGGTTGAGGGTGGGTCTGCCTCTCCCAGTCCACTGACTCAAATGTTAATCTCCTTTGGCAATACCCTCACAGACACACCCAGGAACAATACTTTGCATCCTTCTATCCAATCAAGTTGACAGTGTTAACCATCACACATACCATTATCCAAAGTTTTCCCAGAAATTCAGTGTTCAAAAGCTTCTGGAGGCAAAAGATTAATTATAGTATTATGAAAATGTATTAGAAAATGAAGCCCATCTAATCTAAACATTTACATTTAGAAGTGCTACTGACAGATGTACCAACCTGAAATAAATCACTCAGATATTTAAAGATAGGGGTGATACTGGAGGCCAGAGCCCAGTCTCTTTCGTAAAAATCATAGAATTTATTACAACCCATCTATCCATTTGTCCTTACAACCACCTTGCAAGTAATTTCAAACTACTATCTATTTTTAGGCCATAGCATATGAAAATATAAATGTAACACTTCTGAAATAAAATACTGACTTATCTGTTCAAGGTAATGGGCATTTCAATTTGGCAGGAATTATTTCAGGAATTTGGTAGGAACTATTTCAATTATGAACATGAGGATGGAGAAGATAAAAAGGAATGGCAAAAATAATTTGTGATATATTAATCCCAGTAGAAGAACTAGTACTTCATCTTTGCCAAAGTTATGCATTGCAAATGTCAATTTAGCTTTGGCTACTGCAGGGTATGAAAAGGAAAAAAAAATCTTGAGTGTGCGTAATTATTGTTAATGTAAGTTATCTAATTGGGAGTATTTATTTTCTGATTGTAGGGCAAATGTTAGTGAGTAAAGCATAGGTTTATTTTCTTGTCTATTCATATTTTCCTGAATTCCTTAAACAAAACCTTAGGAATGTCCAATATATATCTGTGATTATAATCTGCTTAAAGGATATCATGGAAAACAAGAGTCTTTATTGTGTGCCTTGTGCATTCCTAAGGTAAGCTGAGGAAAATCACTCTCAACGTACAATTAGAAATAGTTGTAACATAAAACTGTGTCATGGATGTAAGGGAAAATGTTTACTGAGGAAAGGGGTGCACGTGAGGGCGACGGTCAGGCAACAGTTTTCTGGGAAATATTGAGCAGCCTGTCTCTCTGATAATTTTATTAAACTGCTTTGTGAGATAATAGCCAAGCAGAGGCTAAAACTAAAATACAGAAAATGTTGAAGTGGAGGCACCTGGTCAAATGCATAGGTTCAAAAATAATAAGAGTAGAATAATAAGGGCTGCATCGTTGAGACCAAAATCTTGGAATTCTCTATGACTCCTGAGATCATAAATTCAGGACTATGCTATACTTCTGGACAAGTTATGCTTTTGTGTCTAAATAAGGCTCTTATGCAATTAATTTTTCCCATGTTCTACTCACGTCAAACATCTCTTCAATCGGATATGAGGATCAGAAATTGTATATCATTAGCTCAGTGTCCCACACATAGTAATCTGCATCTTGAATAATGGGCAAGCTGTGTGGAAATGTATATTCTGCTACTGAAATGACTAGAGAACTGTTGGTGCACGTTTATTTATTTATGTTTTTTTTTTTGAGACAGAGTCTCACTTTGTCACCAAGGCTGGAGTACAGTGACACAATCTCAGCTCACTGCAACCTCCCAGGCTCAAGTGATCTTCCTATCTCAGCTTCCCGAGTAGCGGGGCCTACAGGCACACATCACTACACCTGGTTAATTTTTGTACTTTTTGTAAAGGAGAGATTTTGCCATGTTGCCCAGGCTGGTCTCCAACTCCTGAGCTCAAGTTATCTGCCCACCTTGAGCTCCCAAAGTGTTGGGATTACAAGTGTGAGCCATTATCCCCAGCCTGCTGATACAAATGTAAACATGCAAACTCGTTAAGGTGAATTACTTTACTATAAAGTGATATTTTCTTACTTAAAATGTAAATTTCTGATAAAATCTGAATGTTAATTCACGTGCTATAAAGAGATAAAGAAATGAGGGCCTTGAGAAAGAAAAGGTGTGATAAAACACCTTTTAAAACAATTTTATGATCATAGGCAGGTAATATTAACTAATAAATATCCAATATACAAAATATTTGTTCATGTGAATACTGGATTTAACATCAAGTATGAAGAGTTTCTCCTACCTTTTCTTGTTGTCACCTGTATTAATTTTCTAGTGCTGCCATAACAAAATAGTACAAGCTAGTTAGGTTAAAAAACAGTCACTTATTGTCTCATAATTCAGATACTAGAAGACCAAGATCAAGGTGCCAACAGGGATGGTTACTTCTGGCAGTGTGAGGAAGAATCCCTTCCATGCTTCTATCCTAGCTTCTGGTGACGAGCTGGCAATCTTTGTGGTTCGGCTTCACAAAGTGTTCCCCCTATGTGCGTGTCTGTGTCCCAATTTCCTCTTTTAGTAAAGATTTTGGTTCTATTGGATTAGGAGTCCAGCCTAAGCCAGTATGACCTCATCCTATCTTTACTAATTACATCTGCAAAGAACCTATTTCCAAACAGTCACATTCTGAGGTACTGGGAGTTAAGACTTTAACAAGTAAATTTTAGGGAAGGACAATTCCACTCGTAAGACCACCTTCTGGCCCTGCAAAATTCACATTCTTCTCCTATGCACAATACATTCATTCTATTCCAACATTTTAAAAAGCTTAAACTCATTCCAGTGTCAACTAGAAGCTCTAAGTCTTACGTAAATATCATCGAAATCAGATATGAGTGAGACTTGAGGTGTGATTCATCATGAGGTAAAATTACCCTCCAGCTGTAACCCTGTGAAACTAGAAAAATAATCTGCTTCCAAAATACAATGGTGGATCGGACATAGGATAGGCATTTCCATTAAAAAAAGGAGAATCTGAAAGAAGAAGGGAATCATGGATTCCAAACAAGGCCAGAATATAGTTGGGTAAATTCCACTAAGATTTAGGGCCTATAAGTAATCCTTGTTGACTCCAAGCTCTGTGCTGCAGACCTACTAGGGTGGTGGCCATACCTCCTTGGCCCTGGGCAGTGGCTACCCTTTAGTTTGGGCCTTCAGTCTATGGTGACAGTTATAGCCCCATGAGCCCTAAAAATTATCCTTCCTCTATTTTGTCTCTTCTCTGCCTCTTTCAGTCTAAGCAGGCTTGCAGTGCTATGCTGGCATAAAATTCTCAAAAACCTTGTTGGCCTCCTGTGCTAGACGTGGGAGTTCAAACCAGCAGACAAAAGTGGATATTTCCTGTGCAATCACATCTCTATTTCTGGCTTTTGCTGAGATGGTTTACTGGATGCATGAGTCACACAGCAAATCTATCTAGCAAATGGTTGTCCAGCCACACCCTTGGCCTTATTTCAAGAGTATTTTGTCTGGGTAGGTTGAGAATCTTCCAAATTATTAAGTGCTAGTTTATTTTTGCTCAGCATTTTCTTTTTCAGTTTATTTTTCTCCTCTTGCATTTTACTCAAAGCAGCAAGAAAAAACTAGGCCACACCTGCAACACTTTGCTTAGAAATCTCCTCAGCTAAAAATCCAAGTGCATCACTTGTATATTATACTCGCCACAAAACATTAAAATACAATATTGCTAAGTTATCTGCCATTTTATAACAAAAAAAAACTTTTCTCCATTTTTCACTAACATGTTAATTTTTGTCCAAGTTCTCATCAGAATTACTTTTAACATTCATATTTATACTAAGAATTTTTTCAAGAAAATATAGTGACATGGTTTGGCTGTGTCCCTACCCGAATCTCATCTTGAATTCCCACATGTTATGGGAGGGACCTGGTGGGAGGTAATTGAATCATGGGGGCAAGTCTGTCCTGTGCTGTTCTCATGATAGTGAATAAATCTCATGAGATCTGATGGTTTTATAAAGAGGAGTTCCCTACACAAGCTCTCTCTTTGCCTGCTGACATCCATGTAAGATGTTACTTGTTCCTCCTTGTCCTCTGCCATGATTGTAAGTCTTCCCCAGCCACATGGAACTATTAGTCCATTAAACCTCTTTCTTTTGTAAATTGCCCAGTCTCGGGTATGTCTTTATCAACAGCATAAAAACAGCTAATATAGTAAATCATCTAGCATTTTTTTAGTCAAGTTCCTCAAAACTCTTCAAGCCTCTATCCATTACTTAATTTCAAAGCTACTTCCACATTTTTTAGATATTGTTCCTAACAGCATCCCAATTTCTAGTCCCCAAATCTGGTATGACTCTTACAGAAAAAAAAAAATAATAAATTTAATTCCTGTGCTGTATTTCTTTAAGAATGTGATATGGTTATTGGTGGCAAGACTAGACCAGATATGAGCACAAATCAGTTGACAATGATAGTAGATGGCATTATAATAAATTCTGTGTTATCAGCTTACATGGTTTCCTGTTCCACATTTTCAAAATGTCAAAACTAAATTCAGTTAAACTAAACACATTGATTCTGTCCTATCAGTTAAAACTTAACAAATATGCCTACAGGATGCTTCTTTAACTAATTAATATGTTTGTTACTTTTATAAAGTTCTTTTTCATCCAAGACTCCACATTTTAGTTTTTCTCAATAGCTGGGTAGTTTCCACATCCTAAGTCCCTGTGTTGTTTACTGGTAGGAGTTGTTTGTAAGAAACAATAAATTACAATTTCTCTGGAATTATTGAAGCTTGTTTTTGACTCTTTGAATATACCTTAGTTTAGGACCATATTATGCTGGAAACAAAAGAAGATCTGAGTGCATGGAAAATAACTAATTAGAGAAAATTGAATATATGAGGGAATCAGACAAACATGTAAGTGTCTCAAGAAAGTTATGTCTTTGGTTTTGCACATGTGAGGAAAAAACAAAAGCAGTCGTAACTAGTACTGATAATCCTAAAATTTATGATAATGCATAAAATATATTCAAGAAACAAAAATGCATATACAAATAGATAAAATATAAGAAACAAAAAATGTTATCTTATTATTATAAATGCCCAGAAGATTTATATGGGCTTTCTAAATAAATATTATTCTAGTTCATTATCATTCCCTAAAGTTTAAAGAAATTTTCCTGATCATCTACCAGAATGGCAAAGTGAAGTGCTCAGTTAACTTGTTCCCCTTCTAAAACAAAGGAAATATGGACAACATAAATAAAATCAATGATTTCAGAACTTTTGCATTTGTTCAAATCCAAAGAACAAACTGAATATTATCTACCAAAGAGAAACTATTGAACCTTGTGTATTAGTCCATTCTCATGCTGCTGAAAAAGACATACCCGAGACTGGGCAAGTTACAAAAGAAAGAGGTTTAATGGACTTACAGTTCCACATGGCTGGGGAGGCCTCACAATCATGGTGGAAGGCAGGCAGGATCAAGTCACATCTTACACGGATGCCAGCAGGCAAAAAGAGAGCTTGTGCAAGGAAACTCCCCCTTATAAAACCATTAGATCTTGTGAGACTTGCTCACTGTCATGAGAACAGCAAGGGAAAGAAGTGCCCCCAAGATTCAATTACCTTCCACCCAGTCCCTGCCACCACATGTGGGAATTCAAGGTAAGATTTGCCTGGGGACACAACCAAACCATATCACCTTGGTAAGACAGTTCTAACTTAGAGTTATCTACTTTTCCCTCCCTCCCCCTAAGCTCAGTGGTGATATAGCAAAAAGCTGGCAGCATGGCAAACAATGGAGGTATATGGCTACTTTTGAAGTTTCATTAAAAGCACCACCCCAGGGCTCAGTTATATTTGTTCTGAACTTGCAGATCTCTAAAAATCAAAAATCTATTCTTAGAAAGCAATGGCTATTTTATTTTACTCAGAGATCAGCTTAATGGAGCAGAATGTTGTAGCCTACCCCCAGAACATTAAATAAACAATAATAAATTGCTGACAGTATTTCAGATACCTATGGTTGTGGTTTCAGATGAAGCAAAGAAAAGCCTAGCTGGAAATTTTAAAAAGAAATTCTGGGAGAATAAACAATCATAGGAGATTGTGAGAAACTCCAACATATGCCTGGGGATCTCATGGGTCGTGTATATGCCCAGGAAAGATCTGGGAAAGGAGAGGCACCAGTTACTCAGCTTTGGCTTGCCTGCACAAGCAGGAAGCAAGAGCTAAGGCTGTGTCATAAACTTTCTGAAATCCAAAGATTTTCTTTCTCACACAAATCTACTTGGAAAAGGATGTAAGGCATACAGGTAGGGCACTGAAGGCAATTTTCTAGCAACTCATTGCTCACCACTAAATTAAAATAACATAGAAGTGACCCCATAAAAGCCAGTCTTAACAATGAAACATGAATTACAAATGAAAAACTAACAGATAATTCAATAGCTCCACGCTTCAAACAATATATAATGTACAGAATTATCTAGGAAAGTGCTAAACAAGTCAGCAGCAACAAAAAAATTACAACACTACCACAACCAGAACTAGCAACAAACTGATGACTATAAACCTTGAAGGATGTAGGAATTAAAAGTAGAATTGTTGTATTACCTAAAATATCCATTTTTAATAAAAATATAAAGAAACCGAATAGTATGCCTATACATAGAGGGAAGAAAAACAGCAAATAGAAAATGTCTTTCAGGAGGCATATATTTTGAATGTAGCAAACAAAGTCTTTTAGCTATTATAAATATGTTAAAAGAATTAAAGAAGCAGAACAGATCTCATTTGCAAAGAGTGTGTTTTTTTATTTTTATTTTTTATTTTACTTGTCTAGTGGCTCCCTGGATGACCAGCTCAAAGGGCTTGCCTTTATCTCTTCTTACCCAGATCTCTCCTAATCTCATGCCCTGGGGAAAGTTTGTTGAAAATATTTAAAATATTTATAGGTAAATATATTAGTCATTGCTGCATGTACCCATAAATAGTAGTTGTAAACAACAGACAAACAAAGAAGATTGAGAGGAAAATCTGTGATATCAGATTCTTTGAGGAATGAGTTTTGAAGTATCCCAACATATTTCTGGTAATTTCTAAGCCATGTAATGCAAAGGGCTGTGTGCATGTTCAGGAAAGGTAGGAGAAGCCTGTAACCTGTTGCTTCTGGCTGATCTTCAGCCTCTGAGCTAGCAGAAAATGGAACCTAAGGAAGAACTGAAAACTCCCTGACCAAATGTAGAAGGGAAAATTCAAAAATCTACCGAGCCCATCTGTGAAATGTTCAATCACTAGCTCACCAATGAGATAATGGAACAGAGGCTTTAGTGGCTACACCGAATAAAGAATACACTCTTTAAAAATGTAATTCAGAAAAATCACTAATTAAACAACCAATAACTACAACAAGAAGCAACGGGAAATTCTGGGGAAGGGAGGTAAGCTAACTTTCATATTGCTGCATTATGATATCATGTTCAGCTTTCAACAAAAAAAATTATAAGGCATGCAAAACAACTAAAAATACAGTGTGAAGTGTACTCTTCAAAACCACCACCAAGTTAGGGAGCAAGATACAGCCCCAGGGTAACATAAAACACCGCAAAATGTGCTCGTCTTTTTATGATTCAGCTGTTTTATTTTTTCCTTGATTAATTGTTCTCCTACTTGCTGCAAGCTGTTGATTAGCCTATAGAATTAGAAAAATGTTGATTCTGACCGTTTTTACCTATTTTTATTGCTTTATGAAGGGAGAAGCTATTGGCATTGTGTACTCTGCCATTTTTGCCAACATCACTCACTAGTGTATTTTTGAAGTGACACTTACATTTAATGTTTTTTAGATAGCTAAAAATAATGAGACAACATATTTCTCAAAAATTTTAATAATTTGTAAACATTTTAAAGCAAATTTAATAAGACTGAAATCTTAAAGTAGTAAGTTTACTTTTTTCTTCACAAGTATGTTTTAGTGCCAGTTCCAAAACACAACATATTCCCTTTATTGTTTTTTTTTTTAATTGCCATGTGTCTATTTTTCTCTTGGAATTTTGAATTTTGTACATGAAGGATGATCTTGAATCCTTGAAGTTTATTTTAGACTTTTAAATATGCCTGTCAATTAGCATATTTCTCACTGGAAAATCTCTTTACCTTCGCAGGCTGTTCAATTGCCTTACCTCCTTTACTTTGAGGGATTAGAGCTAATACATTTTTGCAAAAACTGAAGGTTATACTTTGAATTGAACTTTATATAATTAAACTGACCCCTTTTTTAAGTGAAATTCTTACTTTTGCTTTTGTTGTGTGTTGGGATAATTTATGTTGTATATTTAAAAACTTTAAAAATATTGAAAACATTTTCAGAAATAATTGGGTTGACAAAGTTAACTCTACAAAGCTTTTAGAACCCTCCATATTGAAACTTGTTCAAGTAGCCATAGAAGCTACTTGGCAGACAGTTTATATCTGCATGATTAGCAATAAATGTTAAATAGAGTAATAGCCATTTAATTCAACAAATATTTATTGTATGCTTTCTGTGTGTCAGTTAATCCGCTAGGCACTACAGAAATAACAAAAGAAAAACTATATTCCTTTTTTTTCAAAGGAGCATGCTCTCTGATAGTAGGTGGTTTTATAAAATAATTCAATGTAATAACGAAGTGGCTACACTGTCTGGGGTATATACCCTGGAGTTTGTTGTCACACATCAATAGAGAATTCAGGACACGGACACGTGTGGGCGGGTTAAGGAGTGGAAAGTTTAATAAAAGAAAGGAGAAAGGAGAAAGGTGAGCAGCTCCTTGCAAGAGAGAGATCAGGAGAGAGAGATATAAAAGACTGAAAAAGTGGGGAGGGGAGGTGGCAGACTGCAGCAGATTTTATAGGGAGGCTAGAGGAGGCGGTGTCTGATTTACACAGGGCTCACAGATTAGTCCCATCAGCTATGATCCCTATAGTCCCTATAGTGCACAGGGAAGGCTGATCCTCCCACTCAAGATTATGCAAATGGTCTTTCCTGTTAATTGGCACCATCTTGTCTGCTCCTCTACAGTACACGTGACTGGCAGAGAAGGGAAGATGGACCTGCCATTTTGAAAAAGTCTAGTCCTTAGTTCCTGCCAGCATTCACCCATACAAGCTCACGGCTTGCAGGCTGCTATTTGTTAGAAAATAATTTGGGGCTGCTTTTCATTAAAAAGAAGAGCCTTACCAAGGACTCCCATGACCTTGCTATCTACCTAAGTAATTCCTTCTTGACTCCTATATCAATAGCATGCTTGCTGCTACAAGTGCTTAGAGAAGGCACAATGAACCCAGGGCAGATAGATTCAAAAAAGATTTCATTACCTCTCATTTTAGGGTTTTTATAGTTTCCTTGTTTGCAATTTATATTTAATTAGCCATATCTCAAAATGTACTGTTTACATAAAATTGACGTTTGCCAATTCTTAAGGAGACTAGAAGAAAAATAGCTTTACCCAAAATGTTGCACCTAGATGTTTTCATGTTCTATAAAGGTGAGTGTGTCTAACATGGTCAGGACAAGCATGAAAGCTGGTGTGGCTAGAGTTAAGAGAGAGGGAGGAAAATACTCAAAAGATTTTCAGATGGTTTGTATCAGGCAAGTGCCAGGATGATCTTAAATGGTTAGGTACAACTATATTCATAGCTGAAAATAGAACCAACTGGATTTCCTAATGGTCCAGATGTGATGTTAAGAACAGGCAGAGTTAAGGTTTGTATTGAGCAACTGTAAAGATGGACTTCCCATCAACAGAGAAGACTGGTGAGAAGGGGCTGGTGAGTGACATCAGGGGCACTTATTTTAACTGGTTAAATTTGAGGCACTTATCAGATTCACACCGGAGCCATCAGTTTGACAGTAGGATTTGGGAAGTTGGAGTTCAGAGTAGGAGTCAGAGATGAAAATGTAAATTTTAGAGGAATCAGCGTATAAATAGACATGGCCATCAAAGGAATGAGTAAAGATAGACTCAAAGGAGAATTCAAGGACAGATCCAAGTGGCATTCACATGTTTAATGTTAAGAGATGAAGTAACAGCAAAGGATAGAGATTAGAACAGAACTTACAAAAAAAGGGAAAAAGAAAACTGACTATATAATGTCCTGAGTTAAAGTAAATTTCCAGTTTTTTAAAAAAGTTGCCCATTGAAAGCTTTCTAGGAGAAATGAGTGATCACCTCTGTCCTGTGCTGATGACCCAATGGCTCCATCCATGTTACTGCAAAGGACATGACTTCATTCGTTTTTATGGCTGCATGGTATTCTATAGTATATATGTACCACATTTTATTTATCCAGTCTTCCTTTGATGGGCATTTGGGTTGTTTCCATGTCTTTGCCATTGTGAATAGTATGCAATGAACATATGCATGCATGTGTCTTTATGATAGAATGATTTATATTCCTTTGGGTATGTACTCAGTAATGGGAATGCTGGGTCAAATGGTAGTTCTGATTTTAGCTCTTTGAGGAATCAACACACTGCCTTCCACAGTGGTTGAACTACTTTACACTCTTGTCAACAATGGATAAGTATTCCCTTTTCTCTGCAACCTCACCAGCATCTGTTTTTTTTTACTTTTTTTTTTTTTTTGAGACGGAGTCTCGCTCTGTCGCCCAGGCTGGAGTGCAGTGGCGCAATCTCGGCTCACTGCAAGCTCCACCTCCTGGGTTCACGCCATTCTCCTGCCTCAGCCTCCCGAGTAGCTGGAACTACAGGCGCCCACCACCATGCCCGGCTAATTTCTTTTTTTGTGTGTTTTTAGTAGAGACGGAGTTTCACCATATTAGCCAGGATGGTCTCGATCTCCTGACCTCGTGATCCACCTGCCTTGGCCTCCCAAAGTGCTGGGATTACAGGCCTGAGCCACCGCGCCTGGCCTTTACTTTTTTAATAATAGCCATTATGACTGGTATGAGATGACATCTAATTGTGGTTTGGATTTCCATTTCTTTAATGATCAGGGATGTTGAACTTTTTTTCATAAGCTTGTTGGCCACATGAATGTCTTCTTTTGAAAACTGTCTAAGTCCTTTGCCCACTTTTTAATGGGGTTGTTTATTTCTTGTCAATTTGTTTAAGATCCTTATAGATACTAGATATTAGACTTCTGTCAAATGCATAGTTTGCAAGTATTTTCTCTCATTCTGTAGGTTGTCTGGTTGTCTGTTTACTCTGTTGATAGTTTGCTTTGCTGTGCAGAAGTTTTTTGGTTTAATTAGATCCCATTTGTCAATTTTTGCTTTTGTTGAAGTTGCTTTTGGCATCTTCATCATTAAATTTTTGCCAGTTCCTGTGCCCAGAATGTTATTGCCTAGGTTGCCTTCCAGGGTTTTCATAGTTTTGGGTTTTACATTTAAGTTCTCTTAAGTTGATTTTTGTATATATTGTAAGGAAGGGGTCCAGTTTCAATTTTCTGCATATGGCTAGCCAGTTATCCCAGTACCATTTATTGAATAGGGAATCCTTTTCCCATTGTTTGTTTTTGTCAGCTTTGTTGAAGATCAGGTGGCTGTAAGTGTGCAGTGTTATTTCAGGGCTTTCCATTCTGTTCCATTGGTTTTGGGATCTGTTTTTGTACCAATGCCATGAAGTTTTGGTTACTGTAGCCCTGTAATACAGTTTGAAGTTGAGTTATGTGATGCCTCCAGCTTTGTTCTTTTTGCTTAGGATTGACCTGGCTATTTAGGCTCTTTTTAGTTTCCATATGATTTTTTTTTTTTTTTTTGAGATGGAGTCTGGCTGTGTCACCCAGGCTGGAGTGCAGTGGTGTGATCTCCACTCACTCACTCACTGCAACCTCCGCCTCCCAGGTTGAAGTGATTCTCCTGCCTCAGGTTCCTGAGTAGCTGGGACTACAACCACCATGTGGGGCTAATTTTTCTATTTATAGTAGAGACAGGGTTTCTAGTAAACCTGTTGTTCAGGCTGGTCTCAAACTCCTGACCTCAGGTGATCCGCCCAGCTCGGCCTCTCCAAGTGCTGGGATTATAGGCATCAGCCACCATGCCCAGCCTCCATATGAATTTTAAGATACTTTTTCTAGTTCTGTGAAGAATGTCATTGGTAGTTAGATAGGAATAACATTGAAACTGCTAATTGCTTAGGATAAAAAATCAATGTACAAAAATCACTAGTATTCCTATACAACAACAATAGTCAAGCTGAGAGCCTAATCAGGAATGCAATCCCATTCACAATTGCTACAAAAGATATGGCCACTTTAATGGTACTGATTATTCCTATCCAAGAGCATGGATTGTTTATTCATTTGTTTGTGACCCTCTCTGATTTCTTTCAGTAGTGGTTTATAATTCTCGTAGAGATACTTTCACCTCCCTGGTTGGCTGTATTCTTAGGCATTTTATATCTTTAGTGATAATTGTGAATGGGATTGCATTCCTGATTAGGCTCTCAGCTTGACTATTGTTGTATAGGAATATTAGTAATTTTTGTACATTGATTTTTTATCCTAAGACTTTGCTGAAGTTCTTTATTGCTCTTCGCTTTTGGGCCAAGACTATGGGGTTTTCTAGATATAGAATCTTGTCGTCTGCAGACAGGGATAGTTTGACTTCCTCTCTTCCCATTCAGATGTGTTAGTATTTTAGTACTTTTTCCCTTTTGTTGATTATACTTTGAATGTTATCAAAATATATGCCAAATCCAAAGTCACTAAATTTTTCTTGTAATTTTTAATAGAAGTTTTGTATTTTTGACTGTAATAGCTATAATCCATGTCAAATTAATTTTTGTGTATATTGTGAAAGAAGCTTTTTTAAATTCCTATTTATTCAATTGTTCCAGCACCGTTTGTTGAAAATCTTACACTTTATACCCATCACTGGTCCTGGCACCTTTCTTAAAAAATCAGCTGTCCATGTAGGTGTGTGGGTATGTTTTGGGTCCTCTTCTCTGTTTTATTGAACTAGTGCCTCTCTTTATGCTAATGTCACACTCTCTTGATTACTTTAGCATCATAGTGAATCTTGGAATCACAAAGGGAGCTCCTTTAACCTTGTTCTTCTTTATTAAATTATTTTTGCATTTCCACATTAATTTTTAAATAAGCTTGTCGGTTTTTACAAAGAAGGCAGCTGGGGTTTTAATTCTGATTACACTGAACTTATAGACCAATTTGAGAGAACTGGCACCATAACAATAATGAATTTTCTTATCTGTGACCTCGCTGTATCTCTTCATTTATTTAGTTCTTCTTTAATTTACCTCACTAATATTTCATAATTTTCAGTTTCAGAGTATTAAGAATATTAAGCAAATCTGCTAAACTGAAATATTTGTTCTAGTAATATCACAGTAGTTACAGCAGAATTTTTTCTACAGATATATAGAAAAAACAAGTATTACATTTAAGCCTGTAATCTATTTTGAAGTCTTATATTTAAGCCTTTCATCTATTTTGAGTAGATTTTTGTATACGATGTGAGGTAACAGTCCAATTTCATTCTTCTGCACTATGGATATTTGTTTTTTCCAGCACCATTTGTTGAATAGGCTGTTTTTCCCCATTATGTGTCATGATCTATAGAAAAAAATTCTGCTGAATCTACTATCATATTCCTAGAACAAGTAAGTCAGTTTAGCAAGTTTACTTATGAATACATAAATAAAGAGAGTTTTAATTTTTCCTTGCAATCTAGATTTACTTTATCTATTTTCCTTGTTGCAGCAGGTAGAATCTACAGTATAATGTTTAGCAGAAGTCATAAGAGCGCACATACTTGCCATGTTTGTTATCCCAATGGGAAGGGATTTAGTCTTTTACCATTAAGTACAATGTTAGCTATAGGTGTTTCATAGATGCCTTCCATGAGGTTTAAGAGATATGCTTATATGCATATATTTCTGAAGTTTTTGTTGTTATTCGTTTTAATCAGGGTTGGACGGTGGATTTCTCTAAATCCTTTAACTCTTGAGATGATCTTTTTCTTCTTTTTAGTATATTTACACTATGAATTTCACTGATTTTTTTTCCCTTTTTTTTTCTTTTGAGATAGCATCTCGCTCAGTCACCCAGGCTGGAGTGCAACGGCGCGATCTTGGCTCATGCAACCTCCGCCTCCCGGGTTCAAGCGATTCTCCTGTGTCAGCCTCCCGAGTAGCTGGGATTACAGGCATCTGCCATCATGGCTGGCTAATTTTTCTATTTTGGAGAGACAGGGTTTCACCATGTTGGACAGGCGGGTCTTGAATTCTTGACCTCAGGGGATCCGCCTGCTTCAGCCTCCCAAAGTGCTGAGATTACAGGCATGAGCCACCGCACCTGGCCTCATTGATTTTTTTCTAAACATTTTCTTTAATTTTTCAGTTTATTGAGGTATAATTGACAAGTACAAATTGTGTATATTTAAGATGCACAACCTGTTGTTTTGATATACATTTGTAATATGAAATGATCACCATAATCAAGCTAGTTAACATATCACATAGTTGCTATTTTCTTTGTGTGTGTGTGTGTGTGGTGAGAACCACAGATTTGCTAAGCTCTACACCTCTTAGCAAATTTCAATTATTGCTAACTTAGTGACCATGATGTACACTAAATCCCAGAACTCATTTGTCTTGCATAACTGAAACTTTGTACCCTTCAGTCAATATCTCCCCATTTTCTTCTCCTTGCCATACATAGCAACAACTGTTCTACTCTGCTTCTGAGTTTGACCATTTTCGCTTCCATAGATCATGAGATCATACAGGATTTGTCTTTTGTGTCTGGCTTATTTCACCTAGTATAATATCTTCTAACTTCATCCACACTGTTACAAATGACAGGATTTCCTTTTTTAAGGTTAAATAATATTCCTTCATGTATCTAAAAATAATATTTTCTTTTTTCATTCATCCATTAATGGTCATTTAGGTTTTTTCCATGTAATTCCTCTTGGGAATAATACTGCAATGCACATGAGAGTTTTATTTAGAAATATTTTATTTTGTGTTCAAATATTGGGGGTTATCCAGATTTCTTTCTTTTGTTGAATTCTAATTCAATTTCATAGTTCATAGAAAACATAATTCGAATGATTGGAATTAAATTTGGTGATTCTGCTTCCAAATTTCCTTTGTACCTAACCTGTCACATCAATTCTTTCCAGGGTTTCCAGCCTACTGACTTGCCCTGCAGATGGAGAACTTGAAGCACCTACAACCTGATAATATAATTCCTCGCAATCTCTCTCTCTCTTTCTCTCTCTCTCTCCTCTCCCACTTTATGTGCACACATATACACACATACACACACATTCTAGCTCTATTGGTTCTGTTTCTCTGCACAGCCTTGACTAAAACAGATTTTGGTTTTATTGCCTAGAATATTGGCTATCTTAGAAAATATTCAACATAGACTTGAATAGAGTATGTGTTTTTCTGTTTTTGCAAAGATTGTTGATAATTGTCAGTCAAGTTGATTAATATTGCTGTTCAAGTCTGTATTCTTATTTGTTTTCTCTCTTATTGTATCAATTATTGAGAAAATGGTACTGAAGTATCCAAATACAATTGTGGATCCATTTGCTTCTTATTGCTATTTTTATCAGATTTCAATTCGTGTATTTTGAACTCTATTATTAGATGAATACACATTTAGGGTAAGTCCTCATGACAAATCAACTTCTTTATTATTTTAAAAAATGGCCCACTACATTCCTGGCAATATTCTTTTCTCCGAAAACTACTTTGTTTCATAATAACAAAGAAATTCTAGATTGCTTTTCATTAGTGTTGAAATGGGGTACATTTTTCAATCTTTCTGTTTTAAACTTCTTTTTGTCTTTATATTTAAGGTTGGTTTCCTGCAAGAATAATATAGTTGGAGTTTACTTTTCATATAATATGAAAGACTGACATTAATTTGATGTTTAGGTAATTTTTAATCAATGCATATATTGATATTTGATCTAGATCTACCATTTCGCTATATTTTTCCCATTTATTTATTTCCTTTTTCTTTTTTCCTTTGTTCCTTTATTTCCTAAAAAATCAAGTATTTTTTATTATTACATACATCTCCCTTTTTACTTATTAGCTATTACTTTTTGTTTTGTTCTTTCAGTGGTTGCTTTGGGGTTTATATAGTACGTATGTATATTTATCACAGTCTATTTTCAAGCAATAGTGTACTTCCTTACACACCGCATTAGAATACCACAGTGATATATTTTTGTTTCTCCTTCCCAAAACTTTCTTCTGTTGTCATAACATTTCCATACATGTCATATATTTTTAAGTGCATTCCTTTTTTATTTCCTTTAAATGAGTAATTATATTTAAAAACTGTTTTAAAAATTAGAAATGATGTTTATATTTATACATGTAATGATCATTTCCAGTGTTATTTCTTTTGTTGTTTAAATGCGGATTTCAATTCGATATAATTTTTTTTAAGGACTCGCTATAGTATTTACTTTAGCATGGGTAACTGGTAATAAAAATCTCTAACCTTTCATAAGCCTGAAAAAGTCTTTGTTTTACATTTCTTTTTGAAAGACATGTGATTGAGAACAGAATTCCAGCATGATATTTGTTTTCTTCAATACTTAAAAGATGTTGCTCCACTGTCTTCTGACTTGAATTGTTTGTGATGAGAAGTCTGCTTTTATTCTACTTTCATACCCCTCAGTATAATGTATCTTTTACAAAATCTGACTGTTATTAACATTTTCTCAGGATCATGGGTTTTAAGCAATTAGATTTTGATGTACTTTAGTGTAGTTTTAATTTTCCATACTTTCTCCCCCTGGGGCTAATAGTTTCTGATAAGTTAAAAAAAAACATTATTTCTTCTAATATTTACATCCCCTCCTTTGGAGATTCCAATTACAAATTGAGTTGTCCCCTTGATTGTCCACAATTTAGTGATTCTCTGTTCATTTTATACAGTTTGTTTTTATTATTTATTCCTATGCCTTCATGTCCGTTTGCAAGGCTATGTCAGATCCCCCTTACTGATGCTGCCCTACTGCCCATTGTTTCTTGCTGAGTCAGGGGAGTTTCGGGCTCAGTGGAAAGGAGAGTGTGTCCACTGGTCTCTTGAATCTTGTATCTATCAGGCTTCCTGATGCAACCCCCTGGCCAGCATGGTGTCAGACTTGCCTGATAATGTCAGTGGAACTTTTTTTTTTTTTTTAATCCAGGAGAGGAATAAAACTACTGACCCACCTTATTTTGCTATACAGGAGGTCAGGAAATCCTGGTCTAAGTCACAATTTGTTGCATATGAGACTCTCTGCTGCTGCTGTGTTTCTCCAATCCTGGAGTCCCAAACATGTTCAGCTTCTTTTTTATCATCGTTCAGTGTTCTTTTGTTGCCTCTTGCTTTATTTCCAGGGTTTTAGTTGTGAGGAGGAAAATGGAGAAACAATTCTTCACCATCTTGCCTGTATTTGAGGTTCTCTGCACAATTCTTTTCCTTTGTAAAAGGGGCATCATAACAGAATATATCTTATGAAGTTACAGAAACAGTGGTATTTCTGGTAACTTTTCTTAGTTTTAACATTTATTTTAAGTTCAGGGGTACATCTGCAGGAGGTGCAGTTTTGTTACATAAGTAAATGTGTGTCATGGGGGTTTATTGTACCAATTATTTCATTACCCAGATGTTAAGCCTAGTACCCATTAGTTATTTTTCATGATTATCTGCCTCCTCTCACCCTCCACTCTCTGACAGGCCCCAGTGTGTGTTGTTCTCTTATGTGTGTCCATGAGTTCTCATCGTTTAGCTCCCACTGCATGTGGTATTTGGTTTTCTGTTCCTGTGTTAGTTTGCTAAGGATAATGGCCTCCAGCTCCATCCATGTCCCTGCAAAGGACATGATCTTGTTCACGTTTTATGGTTGCATAGTATTCCATGGTGTGTATGTACCACATTTTCTTGACCCAGATGATCATTGATGGGCATTTGGGTTGATTCCATGTCTTTCCTGTTGTGAATAGTGCTGCAGTGAACATACGTGTGCGTGTGTCTTTATAATAGAATGATTTATGTTCCTTTGGGTATCTACCCAGTAATGTGATTGCTGAGTTGAAGGATATTTCTGTCTTAAGGTTTTTGAGGAATTGTCACACTGTCTTCTACAATGGCTGAACTAATTTACGCTCCCACCAACAGTGTGAAAGTGTTCCTTTTTCTCCACAAATTCACCAGCATCTGTTTTTTTTCTTGTTTTTGTTTTTTGACTTTTTAATAATAACTATTCTGACTGGTGTGAGAAGGTATCTCATGGTGGTTTTGACTTGCATTTCTCTAATGATCAGTGATGCTGAACTTTATATGCTTGGTGGCTGCATATACATCTCCTTTTGAGAAGTGTCTGTTTGCGTTCTTTGTACCTTTTCTGTAGACATTGTTCATTACTGCTTTTGTCACCCCTTCTCACCTTGTTCACGTGTTCCTCTCTGTCTTTATTTTCAGGTATTTAACATTCTCCAGCTAATCTACTATACACCATTCCACATTATTCTGAAACCATGCTGCCATTATTCTCTCACTGTTAACCTACTTTAAACTATATCAACAGTATTGGATTAGTACTAGAAGCATAAAGATTGAGGGAGATGGAGAAAGCAAATTTGCCCTTTGCTACCTTCTCTGTTATGAAGCATCTGTGATTTCTAACCTATTGCTTAGTTGTCTTTACCACATTTCTTCTGCTACCCTGTACCATTCACATGACTGAGTACACTAGGAGGTAGATGGAAATCTTGGTCCAATAAAACCAATACAGTTTTTTTGCTCATTCTCATGAGTCTTTCTCTACTATTATGTTCTGTTTTGTTCTGTTCTCCCCTCTCCTCTCTTCTTTTTTTCTCTCTCTCTTCCTTTTTTATTCTTTTAAAGTCTAGTTGTTCTTTGGGGCTTACAACAGAAATTCAAAAAAGCCAACTACCAATATAATAAGTAATGATTTTCTGCTCAGAAATTTATTTTTCATGAACAAATTTTGCTCAAAGTTATTTGAAATTCAAATAAACAATTCATAAGCTATATTTGAACTAGTAATGATTTGCCATTCATTAAGCCTCAAGAAAGAGATAAAAATGAATCCTAACATAATTATGTGGCAGAGAGAGAATTATGTCAGACATTAAAGATGCTCTGATACCCTGTCACTTGATATTGGTTTCCTGTCTCAAGTTCTGTGAGGTGTGTAATACATTCTGATGGGCAGATGGAGGTGAGAGTTTGATATATTGACACAGCACTTATAACCCAGCAGACTCCAAGATTAATGGCACATTATGTTTAGTGCATGCAGAAACCATTGATCATGTACTTACTTATCTGATTTCAGAAAGAGAGAGAATAAAATGAAGGTACCTCAGGAATTATTTTTAAATTAGTTGAAGATATCATTTTTCTAAATAATTACTGGTGCAATAGGACAATTAAAACACTAGTAGCGGCCGTGCGCGGTGGCTCACGCCTGTAATCCCAGCACTTTGGGAGGCTGACATGGGTGGATCACGAGGTCAGGAGATCGAGACCATCCTGGCTAACACAGTGAAACCCCGTCTCTATTAAAAATACAAAAAATTAGCTGGGCGTGGTGGCAGGAGCCTATAGTCCCAGCTACTCCGGAGGCTGAGGCAGGAGAATGGTGTGAACCTGGGAGGTGGAGCTTGCAGTGAGCTGAGATCGCTCCACTGCACTCCAGCCTGGACGACAGAGTGTGAGACTCCATCCCCCCCCAAAAAATAAACAAAAACAAACACAAACAAAACAAAACAAAACAAAACAAAAATACTAGTAGTGAAATCTCCACATTGATTCTTACAATTAATGATCGATATACTTATCTCTGAGACAGAAGAAAGGTAAAATAATATACCATGTTTTAAATGTGTATTAAATATTAAGGTTTCTATCAGGACTTACGATATTTAACATTTTATTTAGTTCCTACAACAGAGCAAGATAGAAGGTATTGTATTAGCTTAACTAAAAAAGAAAATTAGCTTAACTACTCATGTAGTGAAGTACATTTTTCAAGGTAACCCAGTTACTAAAATAACAGGTTTAATTTATAACTAGTGAAGTCTGCAATTAAAACTCATGACATTTGAGGCGTGACAGATAATCAGTCTGTGGAAAGAATGTATACAAAACAATCTAGACTATTTTATAAAGCTGTAAAACCAAAAATTCAAGCAAAATAACCTTTGCATCAATATGAAGTTTTCCTTGAGCAAATATGGAATAACACAAGCATTAAAAGAATAAAGAATACAATTTAGGAAAACACTGTGAATATAGAAACCTCTGTTTTCAAGATAGATGGACTAACGTACTGGATTTATTCTTGTACTTCATATAAAATAATAACCGTAATTATAGCAACGACAATAATAGGTATACAATTTGAAACATTGGTATTCAGGCATTAAACATCAGGCAGAAAAGGACAGTGATCTATGAGAGTCAAGAAAACAAATGAGGGAAACCTAATGATGGTCCCAGCTTACTATCTAGAAAGAGTTTCCAGGCCATCTCACAAAGAGACAAAAACCAGGCAGGGGTGCCAGAGGTACTTTGAACTGAGAAGACCTAGGTGGAGGCATGGTAAGGGTAAGGTTGATAGAATTAACCAAGCAGAGTCAAAAGATGGAACCTGCCGAGATAGAGCACTGCAGAGCTCTACAGAGTTTCTTTAAAGTCTTCAGTTGAGTACTGATCAGTGTGTGCATATGAAAAAAGTCACCCGGAGTCCGGGAAAAAACTACCTTAACAAATTACAAGGGAAAATCCGTAGAGTTCACAAAGGGCTGGAAATAGTGAGTGTCCCCATTAGCTACAATGTGTAAAAAAACTACCTAAGGCCAAGAAAAGAACCAACTGAAAGAGACACATATCCAGTGAGGAAATGCAGGGCCAGGAAGAGTCCATGTTTCCAACAGCAGCATCAGATAAACTACCTGGAAGGTGATCACTCCAGTGGTGTGTTACAATTAGTCCTACACTAATGCAGTGCTGGTCTTTCCCAACAAAACTCAAAAGCAAGCATTAAAAGGATCAAACTATCTCCAAATAAGTTAATCAAGTTCTAGAATAAGGGTCCATAATATTTATAGAATTTTTTAAAATACTGCATGTTCTCACTCATAAGTGGCAACTAAATGATGAGAACACATGAACACATAAAGGGAAACAACACCCAGTCGGGCTTTTATGAGGGTGGGAGGAGGGAGAGGATCAGGAAAAAATACATAATGAATACTAGGCTTAATACCTGGGTGATGAAATAATCTGTACAAAAAACGCCCATGACACAAGTTTACCTATGTAACAAACCTGTACTTGTACCTATGAGCTTAAAATAAAAGTTAAAAATAAATAAATAAAAATTCCTTCTTTGGGTGAAAAAAAAAAAACTTCTATCCAAAAAGGTACATTCACAATATCGCCAACCAAGAAACAATTACCAGGACTACAAAAAAAAAAAAAAAAAATTCAGGAAAATAGAAACTGTGATAAGAAAAAAATACATGCAAACTAAGCCACAAATGGCACAGATGTTAGAAAGAGTAGACAAGGACATTAAAAAGTTATCATTAGTGATACTGAATTTCAAAATTAGTAAACTTGAAGATAGAAATAGAAATTAGCTAAAATACAATGCAGGGTGGAAAATATTTCAAAAAAATTAACAATGCATCATTGAATTGTGGGAGAGTTAAAGAGGTCAAACATATTTGTAATTTGAGTGCCCAAAGGAGAAGGGATGCAAATATTTGAAGAAACAGTGATTGAGAATTTCTCAAAATTTTTCTCTTGAAAATACTGATAAAAATAGCAGTTATTTTAAAAAGACCCAAATAGAAATTGCAAAACTGAAAATTATACTAACAGAAATTTTATTATCTTATGAGATTGGCTCAATATCGTAGTGTCGTAAGTTACAGAAAATAGAATCACTTAACTTGAATACAGATCAATAGGATTTACCCAATATGCAAAGCAAAGAGAGCATATAGTTTAAAAAAAAGAACAGAGGCTCAAGGACCTGTGAAACAATGCCAAAATATTAAACATTTGTATTTTTATAGTCACAGAAGGAGAGGAGCAGGGCTGATAGATAATTTGAAAAAAATAATGGCTGAGAATTTTCCAATATGGCAAAAGATATAAATTTGCAGATTGAAGAGTCTAAGCAAGCTTCAAACAGTGTTAAACCAATGAAATTTCCACCAAGAAACCTGATAATTACATTTGTGAAAACTTAAGACAAAGTGAAATTCTTCAAGGCAGCTGAGAGAAAAAAATGAATTACCTATAGTAGAACTATTCAAATGTCAGTGGAT
The DNA here is from genome assembly GCF_000001405.40 of Homo sapiens. NCBI lineage: Eukaryota > Metazoa > Chordata > Mammalia > Primates > Hominidae > Homo > Homo sapiens. The sequence goes on from NC_000007.14 coordinate 49,314,306, forward strand.
GCCTCATATGAAACCATGGAGTCCAGAAAGAAGTGACACAACATTTTAAGTGTTAAAAATAAAACAGACCTATCAACTGAAAATTCAAATTTCTATATCTAGAAAAACTATCGTTCAAGAATGAAGACCCAAATTAAACATTCTCAGATGAAGGAAAGCTAAGATAATTTATTACTAGTAGACTTAACCCTGAAGATTAGTTAAGAAAATTTTTCAAACAGAAAGAAAGTGAATAGGAGAAGACTCTTGGAACATCAGGAAGGAATAATAACGGGACAATTAAAAATATGGATATATACATTAGATTATATTTCAACTCATATGTTTCATAAATCATATTAGTTATTGAAACAAAAAATATTAACACAGTATGACACTCATGACAAAGATGTTTTTTGTTTTGCTTTGTATTTTTTTGAGACCAGGTCTCACTCTGTCGCCCAGACTGGAGTGCAGTGGCTCGATGTTGGCTCACTGCAACCTCCGCCTCCCGGGTTTAAGAGATTCTCATGCCTCACACTCCCGAGTAGCTGGGACTACAGGCGCCCGCCACCACGCCCAGCTAATTGCATTTTTTTTTCTTTTCTTTTTTTTTTTTAAACGGAGTCTCGCTCTTTCACCTAGGCCTGACTGCAGTGGCACTATCTCGGTTCACTGCAAACTCCGCATCCCAGGTTCATGCTATTCTCCTGCCTCAGCCTCCCGAGTAGCTGGGACTACAGGCGCCCGCCACCGCCCCCGGCTAATTTTTTGTATTTTTAGTAGAGACGGGGTTTCACCATGTTAGCCAGGATGGTCTCGATCGCATTTTTTTTTTTAGTAGAGATGGGGTTTCACCATGTTGGCCAGGCCGATCTCAAACTCCTGACCTCAAATCATCCGCCCACCTTGGCCTCCTAAGGGATTACAGCTGTGAGCCACCGCGCCCGGCCCCAAAGATGTTCAGAAGTGTGATTATTTTAGGGAAGACAGAGTAACCTAAATGGTAGTGAGAGTTGTATAATTAATTTGAAATGGTAAAATGTTGACATCAGTAGACTGTGACAAGTTACATATGTATAATGGAATACTAAGAGCAACCAAGACAAAAACAAATATGAAGAGATACACTAAAAAAATATTAAGATGGGATCTTATATAATGTTAAGTAATCCACAGAAAGACAAGAATAGAGAAATGGAGGAACAACAATCAGAGGAAGTAAACATAAAATATTTAAATGACAGATTTAAGAAATAATATGTCAATAATTTAAATTTAAATGATCTAAACATACTTTTCAAAACAGATTGACAAAGTGGATATTTGATGTCTTTTACAAAAAACTAATTTTAAATTTAATCGCTCGTAGTTTACTGTAAATATACAGTAATATGAAGGAAAAATATGTATCATACCAGCATTAATAAGAAAAAAAAGAGTATATCCATATCTAATAAATTGGACTTCAGAGTTAAAAATAAATTCTAGAAGCAAAGAAATATATTCAGTTAAAATAAAAGAAACAATCTATTAGGAAAACATATTGATCCTAAATGTGTGTGCCTCAATCAATGGAGCTACAAAAGATACCATGCTAAAACCGATATATTGAAAACATAAATAAATATATAAATATCATTGAACATTTCAGTAACTTCCCGTCAGCAACTGATGGAACTACTAGACAAAATATCAGCAAGGATATAGAAAATCCAAAAAACACAATCAACCAAATTTATCTAACATGTTAACGTAGAACACATCACCCAACAATAGCAGAATACACATTTATTTTGAAGCATACATGGAACATTCACCAAAATAGACCAAATCTTGGGTCACTAAACAAAATTCAACAGCTATCAAAGAATTGACATTATACAGATTGTGGCATTATGACAGAGTCAAACTAGAAATTAATAACAGAAAGCAGAAAAACCTCTAAACAAATGGAAATTAAGCATATTTTTAAATGATTTTTGTGTCAAAGAATAGCTCTTAAGGTAAATAAAAAGTACATTAAACTGAACTAAAATAGATAATAAAATATACAAAAATGTATGGTATACTAATGAAGTATTGCTGAGAGTGAAGTTTAAATTTGTAGCTCTAAGTTTGTACTTTTTAAAAAAGAAGAAAAGACTCAAATCAATAATGTAAGCTCTTTTCTCAAAGATCTAAAAAAGAAGAGCAAAATAAACCCAAAACAAGCAGAAAAAAATAAAACTGGAATTCAGTGAAACTTAAAATATAAAAACAGTAGAGAAAAATAAATGTAACAAAAAATCCTTCCTATAAAAGAATTTGATAGCTGGTTCTTGCTGGTTCTGGAAAGACTGACAAAAAATTTTAAAAAGATGCAAGTCACAAATACGAGAAATGTAATTAAAAGTATTATTCTAGATTCTTTAGATTAAAATGATAGGGGATTATTATGACACCTTTAAGCTCATAAATTAATGAACTTAGAAAAAATAGAAGAATTCCTGTACAGCCATCAAGAACCAAAACTCAACCAGATGAAACAGATAATCTGATGGCCCTATAAGATTAAAAAAGCTTAACACATAATGTCTCTGATAAAGAAATCCTCAGCTCCAGATGGTTTCTCTGGAGTGTTCTATCAAAAATTTGAGGAAAACATCAATTTTAAACAATCTATTTCATCAAACAGAAGCAAAGAAAACACTTCCTATTTATTTTATGAGGCCAAAACTTTCATGATACCAAAACTGGTCAAAGATAATACAAGAGAGAAGAGACAAAAAAAGAGAGAAAGAGTCTAACATCAACTTATGTGCAAAAATCCTCAAAAAAATATGAGCAAATGAAATCCAGCAATCTGTTAAAATATCCGCTATATGACCAACTGAAGTTTATTCAAAATGTATATTAGTGATTTAACATTTAAAAACCAAACAATGGAATTTTTCCTATCAATATGCTAGAGAGGAAAAATTATATGACCATATCAGTTGATACAGAAGAGCATTTGACAAAATCCAACACCTGTTCATGATAAATATTCTCACCTACTTAGGAGCCGAAGAAAATTACCTCAGCTTGATAAGAAGATTTAATTTAAAAATCTACAGCAAATGTCATACTTAATGGTGAAGGACTGAATGCGTTCCTAATTAAAGCAGGGTCAAAGCAACATACATCAACATATTACAGAAAGTTGAAGATACTGAAATAGGACAAGGGAAAAATACAGATTGGAAAGCACAAAATAAAACTGTATTTGAAGATGACACAATTGTCTGTGTAGAAAATTTCAAGGAATCTACAAAACAATGACCTTAACTACAAAATGAGTTCAACAGCATCATATGATGCAAGATTAACACAAAAATTAACCACATCTCTATGTACTAATAATGAACATGTGGAAACCAAAATTAAAAACACGTTGTCATCCACAATCACTCCCAAATTAATAAAATACTTCAGTATAAAATTAACAAAGCATGTAAAGAACATGTATATAAAAAACTACAAAAGATGCTGATAAAAGACAAATAAATGGAAATACATTTTTTGTGTTGTTGATGCTGTTGTTGTTTTTGTGTTGGAAGATTCAACATACCAAATGTGCCAATTCTTCCCAATTGACCTACAAGTTTAAAATAATTTATATGACAATTCAATGTTTTTCATAGACATAGGCAAAATTATTCTAAAATTTGTATAGAAAAGAGAAGCTAAAGGCATTAAAATGATTAGACAATGAAGCATAAAGTGGGAGGTAGATCTCTATCTGATATCAAGGCTTACTATATGCTTACAGTAATCCAGACATTGTTAATTGGAGAACAAACAAATGGATCAATGGAAGAGAATATGAAATACAGTGGTCCTCCCCTTATTTGTGGGGATACATTCTGAGACTCTCAGTGGATGCCCAAAACTGTATACTGAACATTGTTACTATGTTTTTTCATATATAAATGTATGAAAAGTTTATTTTTTATATCTCTGTATAAAATATCTCTCTATAAAATATACAAAGATATTTTGAGAGAGAGAGCACATTCATATCACTTTTATTATAGTATGCTTATAAACTGTGCCTAGTTATAAATTAAATTTCATTATGCCTATGATGAAATTTAATTTATAAACTAGGCACAGTAAGAGGTTGACAAATAATAATAAAATAGAATAATTTTAATGATATACTATAATAAAATGATGTGAATGTGCGCACTCTCTCTCTCAAAATACCTTGATAGTTTTAGACTGTGATTGTTATTTGTTCCCTGCAAAATTAATGTTGTAACTTAATTCCCAACGTGGCAGTATTAAAAGGTGGGGCCTTTACGAGGTGATTGAGTCCTGAGGGTTCTTCCCCTACGAACTGTCATTTCATTTATGGATTAATGGATTAACTGGTTAATGGAATAATGGCTTATAACAGGAGTGGGACTAGTGGCTTTATAAGAAGCAGAAGAAAGACCTTAGCTAGCACCTCAGCCCCCTCACCATGTGAGAAATCCCTGTGCTACCTTATGACTCTGAGTAGAGTACCCACCAACAAGGAGGCCATCCAGATGCCACCACTTGAACTTAGACTTCCCAGCCTCCAGAACTGTAAGGAATGAATTATGTTCCCAATAAGTTACCAGTTTTAAGTGGCCTTTTCTGAACAACAGAAAATAGATTAAGACAGTGATTGACCACGGGTATCTGAAATTGTGGTAAGTAAAACTGTGAATGGGGAGAATATTTACAGGAGAAGACCCACACAAATATGGCAAAATAATTTTTAATAGAGAAGCAAAAATTTAATAAAGGAAGGATAGTCCTTCAATAAAGGGCAGCATAACATTTAGACATTATATTTAAAAATAAAAATAAACTTTGACATAAAACTCACAACTCATCCTAGAATAAATCCCAAAATGAATCTTGAAGTTAAACGTAACATTTAAAACTCTACAACTTTCAGGGGAAAAACACATAGAATAAAATCTTTACAATTTAGGCACAATCTATAAAAGATCAAAAGGATAAATTGGACTTCATCATAATGAAGACTTTTGCTCTGTAAAAGAACCATTAAGAGGTTGGAAAATCAAATTACAGGCTTAGAGATTTTTTCCAAATTATATTTGTATTAAATAACTCATATCTGAATATACATTTCAGAAAAAACATTCAAAAACTAACAGTAAGAAAACAATTAAATTGGAAAATGAGAGAATATAAAATGCAAATAAGTATATTAAAGGATGTTCCGTATTATAATCCATAAAGGAAATGCAAATTAAAAACACAATGAGATATCTCTACAACATAATCTGAATTTTGAAAATTAAAAAAAATAGTAATGCCACCAGATTCTGGCAAGGATGAGAAATTGGTTAATCTATACCAGACTGCTGGAAGTGTGAAATGGTGCAGCCAGTCTGGAAAAATTTGGCAGTTTCTTATAAATGTAGGTATGTGATTATTATATAGTTCAGCCCAGTAAATGCACTCCTAGACATTTGTCCAAGAGAAGTAAAAACTTATGCTCACACAGAAACATGAGCATGTATGTTCATAGTAGTTTTATTTGTAATAGCTCAATATTGGAAATAGCCCAAATGTCCTTCAGTGAGTGAGAGGTTAATCAAACATTGGTACAAACACACTATGTGTATCTACTCAGCAATTAAAAGAAATGAACTGTATAAATGTAACAATTAGACTGAATCCCCAGGTAATAATGCTGAAAGAAAAAAAGTCAATCATAAAAGTTTACATACTATATGACTATAACATTTTAAAAAAATAATATTTTGGAAATGGTAAATATATTGGTATTTGTCAAAAGTTAGGTACAGAAGTGGGGGAAGAAGGCAAGCCAGTGTGATTGTAAAAGGACAACACGAGGAGTTATTGTGGTGATGGAACTCTTAAGAATTTTAACTATAAGGCAGACTCGAAAACCTATGCCTGTGATAAGACTATATAATAAAGAAATAAAACCATAAAAATAAGTAAATAAATCTGGGGAAATGTAAGACAGGTGGATTCCATCAATGTCCTTATCCTAGTTGTGATAGTACAGTGTAGTTTCGTATTATATCACCATTGGAGGAAGCTGGGCAACGTATGAATAGAATCTCTCTGTATTATTTATTTCAACTTCATGGGAATCTGCAATTAGCTCTATAAAATATTTAATAAATGGAAAGAGACAGTATAGCTAACATGAAAGTCTTACTTAATTTTCTCCAGACCAACCAAAAATGCAAAACCAATATGCTTGTCTCTGGATGTTCCGCTTCTAAGCCTTACATCATTCTTTTCTCTACCAGGATGCTAAAGAGAATGTCGAAGAAGGCAGTGTGGGGGTGTGGAAGACAAGTGTCCCCAGAGAAGTCAGGCAGGGCCAGATACAAACAGCTTTTAATCCACATTTCAGATATTTCACCATTATAGCACAAAGTTTAATTTTTTTGCAGTTTCTGAAAAGATTCATTCATGCCAAAATGCTATTTTCAGATACTGCTTCTAGGTAAAAGAAAAAATATTGGAAGATGTGCATAAATTTATGAAGGAGCAAGGGAAGATAGAAAAATAGAAGTAGTGTATGAGAGTTACCCCAGATGCATTTAATAATTTCCATCCCACAGACTTTGATTGTTTTCTTTGTATGAGAATTTAATATCAGTACCAACTTCAGTAAGTTCTTGAATCTTTCTATTGGACTTTTAAGCCCTTACACTTTCTGATGAATGCCTTATCTGTAGGCTTTCCCTCTACACAGATCTAGCTGCATTATGATACTTTTAATTATATGACGCATAACACAAATTTTAAGCACAAAAATTTATTTCCTTTGAAACTATTTTTTTTTGTTTTGTTTTTTAGCATAGCAGCTTGCACCTTAGCAGAAATCTCACTGTTATGGAAATTGCAATGTTCACATTGAAATTACTTTTTGTTCTTGAGATATCTCATTGTAAAAGCCCATTCCTAATTTATGAGTAATTTAACTTTTCCCATTTTTTATAAGACAGTGCATAGGCAACACTGAAGCAGACTTCTGAAAACTAATTCTTAATGATATGAAATTAAATTGCCTATTTATTCTATATTTGCACATCTTTCACACTTCAGACAAAAATTAAAGATGACATGTTATTAATAATTTATGTAGAAGGTAAATGCATTTATATGAGTCCTTCTGGAGATCACGACTATAACATCTATTTCTAAACTATATATGTTGCACTTTAATATTAAACCATATGATGCCATGCTATGATTTATATTCCATATTAGAATTACATGCTTAGAATTTGGTAAATGAATATAAAATCTAAATACCTTTCTATTGACATGAATAAGCTGTATACATTTTGTTTTATGTTGTGAAAACCATTATAGTATGATTCAAAAAAGGGTAGATGTAAATAATGACCAGAATAGCTTAAAGAAATGGTCATTGCAACTTGCAAAACTCAATAGAAAGGTTGGCCAATTGGTAGTTTTGTTCTTTTATTAAGGCACAGAGGATATCCAGAAATAAATATTGCCATTCAATTCACATCAGTTTTCTTAATTCATTTCCCAGGAGTTGTCATAAATAGCAAGATAATGGGATGGTGTTGTTTCTTACAACCAGCCTCTATTTTGTACCCAGTAAGGATTAGGCATTTGACAGGAATTGATTTGCAGAAATAAATATGGCTTAGAATACTCAGTCCTTGCTTTCAAGAAGCCCCAACCCCCTAGGAGACCAACAAATAACCAGACATGGTTACACAAAGTGCAGTTGTTGCCATGGCAAACATAAGCACCCAGGCCTTTTGGAGCCCATTTGGAAGGTAGGAAAAATATGTTGAAATGCCAGCTTTGGGGCTTTGAAAGGTGGCCAAAAGTAGCCTGCAGAAAGAAAAGGTGGGTGAAGAAGAGGAAGGATTTAGAAACTTCCTGGAAGAGCGCTGACTTTTAAGATTAAGTTACATTACTGCATCATCAGGACAATGCATATTAAGTCATTAATGCTTACAGGTATTCACACTGCTAAAACATTTCAAGAGGAGGTAAAATGACATATCTAGAAGCTCCATAACCTTAAAAACTCATGCAAAATTGATGCTAATTTAACTAATATATTTATAAGTTCACACCACTTTTTTCTGCTGCTGAATTCATTACAAAATGAAAAAAAGTTCTTGAAGAAAAATGACACTAAAGTAACATTTGTAAGAAACTTTCTATAAAGCTGATAATAAAAACTATCACTACTTCAGTGCAGCCATCTGTAGCCCTAATCATCTTACACTTTTGAGAAATGTATTTCTGATATGCAAAACATAAATGAGCAAAACAGTACACCCAAAGTAAAACTATGAAAAGTAATTTACCAAGGTGTAATAGACACTGTCATGTGAACTGTTTGTTTCAAAATGAAACCTGCCTGTGGCAATGAGAAGATCACTATGCCCAGTCAGTGTATACCATCAGATAAGTCCCAGTCTCAAAGAACCAAAGAATTTTAACTTTCAAAAAGTTATGTGAACAGTCATTGCATATGCTGAATGTAATTCATTTATAAGAACTTAACATAGTTCACATTGAGACAATCAGAAAAATCAGCAAATTGACCATGATCAATTTTTTTTAATGTGGAATAGAAATGATATTCTGTTGGGAAATATGTTTTCCTCCAAAATAGTAATTTAAAACCTTTGTTTTTACTAACAGTCATAAGAAACCTCCTTTCTGTTTACTATATATTAGATAATAATTCATTAGATATATAATATTTTCCTACTTAGGTCTGCAAATTTCTATAATTTACTGTTTTAATATTTTGCTAGTTTAATAAATTGTATTTTTACTTTTACATTTATACTGTTAACAAAGTGAGTGTTCTAGTAACATTGCTGGTGTAGGGTAAATGTTATATTCATAAGTCCTCAATTTTCATCATCATTTTTATTATGGTTTTAAATTATATGAGCAAATTATATTTTCAATAAGTTTTTATGAATTTAACATAAATTCTAATATATTTAGGAATATTCTCATGTTTGTTTCATAATTGAAATCAAATTTCCTGGGCATTAAACGAGTCACAAACCTCTTCCCATGACACATCATGCTGCATTATTTCTGGACATTTCAATTTACAAAAAAAGAACTCACAGAACTTTTGCTTCCAGAATTTTGTAGTAAGCATATCTGTGCCTATTTCTCCTGCTAAGCACAGCTAACTTCCCTAAAAAGCATATACAAAACAAACATAAGAAGACTTTGAAAATTGAAAAGAAAAGCTCAGGCTTCCTAGGAGGCTGGAGATCTAAGGAATAACACAATGATGAGCATCCTCTGTTTTCTATTTTTCCTCGTATATTTCAGGTGGGAACTGAAGAAACCAGCCACCCAGAACTGTCAATGGCTGCAGAAAAAAACAAGCCTAAACAAAAGCCTGCTCTTTCTAATCAAAGAAGCAGGGAAGAGACAGCCTAGAAAGATAAAAAAGTTTTAGAAAATAACCATTCTACTCTAGCCAAACACCGCAGATAAAACCGTGGGCCCCATTCCCACTTACACAGCTCAAGGCAGAGGAGGCAGTTTACACTTACACCCTCACAAAATTATAATGAAGCAACCCCAAGTCACTCCTGAAGTTGTTACTGGAAAGGGGTCTGTATCCAAACCCCAAGAGAGAGTTCTTGGACCTCATGCAAGAAAGAATTTGGGGTGAGTCCATAGAGTAAAGTGAAAGCAAGCTTATTGAGAAAGTAAAGAAATAATGAATGGGTACTCCATAGGCAGAACAGCAGCTTGGGCTACTGTACTGATAATATCTGTAGTTATTTCTTGATTATATGCTAAACAAGCGGTGGATTATTCATGAGTTTTCTGGGAAAAGGGTGGGCAATTCCCAGGACTGAGAGTTTCTTACCATTTCAGACCATATAGGGTAACTTTCTGACGTTGTCATGGAATTTGTAAACAGTGGTGGCACTGGTGGGAGTGTCTTTAAGCATGCTAATGCATTATAATTAGCATATAATGAGCAGTGAGGACAACCAGAGGTCACTTTCATTTTCATCTTGGTTTTGGTGGGTCTTGGCCAGCTCCTTTACCACAACCTGTTTTATCAGCAAGGTCTTTGTGACGTGTATCTTGTGTCCACCTCCTATGTCATTCTGTGACTTAGAATGCCTAATCTCCTGGGAATGGAGGCCAGTAGGTCTCAGCCTCATTTTACCCAGTCGCTATTCAAAATGGAGTTTCTCTGGGTCAAATGCCTCAAACAGTGTGGCATCATATAAGACCAAGAAGAGGGCTGGGACTTTTATTCCTGCCACCTATTAATGAAGTCTCTCTCACCCCTCATAGTGTAAGTAAAGAGTACATGGGGAGCCAGGAATTCTACCTCAACCCAAAATTAACAAGACACTCCTCTCACTTCCTGCTGTGGTGTCATAAGAGAAGGCCTAGTGGACAGTCAAGACATTAATCACCATCCAGCAGTAATAAGGCCACCAGCACTTCTGGGTCTATGAGGATAATGTGTGCAATTGGAACTCCCAGACTTGCCCAGCAGTAATGAGGAGCTCCTTTCTTGGATGCCAGGGAGGCTGAATGGACAATTTGGACTACTACTGCCATCTAGCAGTAATGAGACAGTGTGCCCCTTTCCCGGGCAGAAGGAGTCAGAGAAAGTAATCTAAAACTGAAAAATTAAAATAAGGTCCAGAGTCTCAGGATGTAAACATATGTTTTCAGATTTCAATAGAAAATCACTCAGAAACCAATAGCAAGAATATCTCTAATTGAATAATGAAGTTAATAGATGACATCACTGACATGACAGAGATATTAGAACTACTAACAAATATTTTAAATCAGCTATAATAAGAATGCTTCAATGAGCAGTGACTAAAACCCTTGAAACAAATAAAAAGAAGTTTTCAATAAAGAAATGAAAACTTACCAGAAAAGAAATAGAAGATATAAAGAAGAGCTGAATGGACATGTTAGAACTGAAAGTTACAGAAACAGAAACTAAAAACTGAGTAGATGTGCTCAAGACTTTAATGGAGAACACAGAGAAAAGAATTAACCAATAGGAAAATAGAAAATTATAAATTGCACACTCTGAATAAGAGAGAAAACAGACTAAAAAAATAAACAAAGCATCAAAAATGATGAATTAAAACCAAAAATCTAACATTTAGGTCATCAGAATCTCAGAACAAATAGGAAATGAGAGTGGATATATTACTCAAAAAAATAATGGCTGAAAACTTTCAAGATCTGGCAAGAGACGTGTACCTCCAGATTCAAGAAGCTATGGGGACAGTAACTTGATAAATATGAGGAAATACATGCCAGTAAACATGGAAGAAGTAAAGACAGAAAAGCCAGCAATGCAGCCAGAGAAAAATAAAATCTTACTCATATCGGGGGATAAAAATAATTAGAAGAACCAGAGGTTTCTCATCTGGAACCGTAAAGCCAGAAGGAAATGGGCCAATATTTTGTATGTGCTAAAAGAAGAGGCCTGCCAACGGAAAATCCTACACTCAGTGAAAATATTCTTCAGGAATGACAAGGAAATTAAGTTATTATCAGATGTAGGACAATAAGAGACTGTTGTTAGTACATATATCCTAAAAAAATGGGTAAAGAAGATTCTCTAAGTAGAAAGAAAATGTTAAATGAAGACATCTTGAGAAAAGACCCTTAACAGAAATATAGATTAATGCTATAAGCTTTCCTATCTTCTTGTATTTTCTAAATTATGCTTGATAGATAAAGCAAAAATATAGAATAATGTGATCAATAATGTATGTGGAATAAATAGTTAATTGTATTATAAATGGAAAAGGTTACACAGACATAAAGGGAGATAATCTTTCTGTGCTTCACTGTATTTTGTAAATCAATGTCAACAGAGTAGTGTCTTATACATAAATTTGGTATACGTAATGTAATAGTGTAAATGCTGAAATGTTTATACAAAAGACACCCATAAACTGTATATAGATAAGTTGAAATTGAATTCTAAAAATTATTCAAGTAACCTACATAAAGGTAGAAAAAAGAAAACAGAAACAAAAAAAAAAAAAACAGAAGAAACAGAAAATGAGCAATAAAATGGCTCATTTTATTGCAATAAAATTAAGCCCCAACACAGAAATAATTGCATTAAACATAAAAAAGGTCTAAATACACCAATCAAAAAAATAGATAGAATTATTTTTAAAATGTTGAACTACATGTTGTGAAGTGAGTTGTATATGCTCACAAACTCACTTCAAATATGACATATACAACTTGAAAATAAAAGAATGAAAAAAGACATATAATACAAGCATTAATCAAAGGAAAGTAGGAGTAACTGTTAATATCAGATAAAGTATACTTCAGAAGAAATATATGTAATGTATATGTGTGTACACACACACATTCACACATATGTGTATTTATGAGAGGGATATTATACACTAATGAAAAGGCCAATTCACCAGGAAGACATGGCAATCTTAAGTGTATATATACCAAATAACAGAGCTGCAAGTTATGAGAAGCAAACATCAACAGAACTGAGAAAAACAGACAAATCCAAAACTATATTTAGAGATTTTAACATCTCTATCCGCAAAATTGATAGAACACCTATACAGAAAATTAGCAAGGATACAGAAGAAATCTATATTATTACCAGCCAAAATATCTAATTGACAATTGTAAGACAATTGGACCAAGAACAGCAGAATCCACAATATTTTCAAGTATTCCTGGAATATATCCCAAGATAGTCCATATTCTGAGCCGTAAGTCAAGCCTCATACAGAATGTGTATTTTCACCAGAGTAGAACCAAAGTACAAACCAATAACAGAAAAATAATAGGATAATCTCGAAACACTTGTGTCTTAGTTGTTTAGCGTTGTTATAAAGGAATACCTGAGGTTGAGTAATTTATTAAGAAACAAGATTTATTTGTCTTGTGATTCTGCTGGCTGTCCATGAAACATGCTGCCGGCATCTGCTTTGGGTGACGGCTTTCGGCTGCTTTCACTCTTGATGGAGGCAAAGAGGAGCCAGCATGTGTAAAGATCACATGGCGAGAGTGGAAGCAAGTGAAACGGGGGGAGGTTCCAGGATCTTTTTCAGAATCAGCTCTCACAGAAACTAAGAGAGCTACAGCTCAGTCATTACCATGACACCAACCCATTCATGAGGAGCCTGCCTCCATGACCCAAACACCTTCCATTAGGTCCCACCTTCAACACCGCAAATCAGATTTCGACATCAGGTTTGAGGGAACAAACATCCAAGCTATAGCAACTTGGAAACTAAAAATAAACTTCTAAGTAATCCATGGGCCAATAAAGAAGTCCTAACATAATTTTTAAAAATTACATTGAACTAACTGAAAATAAAAATACACATAGCAAAATTTCTGAGACACAACTAAAAATTTTGGGAAGGAAATATATTATTACTAAATGCTCACTCACTAGAAAAGAGAAAAAATTCAAATAAATAATCAGAGCTATCATCTTAAGTGTCTCTTCCAAAAAAGAAAAGCAAAATAAACACAAAACACCCAGAAGAATGGAAATAAATGTAATAGCAAAAATCAGCTAGGTGTGGGGGCATGTGCCTGTAATCCTAGCTACTCCAGAGGCTGAGAAAGGAGGATCATTTGAGTCCAGGAGTTCAAGGTTGTTGTGCACTGTAATTGTGCCTGTAAAAGCCATTCCACTCCACCCTGGGAAACATAGCAAGAACCCATCTTAAAATAATCATATTCATAATCATTATAAAGAAGTGCAAATTTATGTATTCTATTAAATTTCTTTCAAAAAAGAAATCTATGAAATTGAAAGCAGAAAAAGAGGAGAGAAAAGGGATGAAACAAAGTTCCTTTGATTCCTTGAAGAGATGGATGAAATTTACAAAACCCTATAGCAAGAATGACAAAAAAAAATGTAAGACAAAAACTACTAACATTGAGAATAAGACATAAGCTATCACTATAGACCTGGGAGACATGAAAAAAATATTAAAAAATACTGTGAACAACTCTATGCTCATAAATTTGACATCTTACATGACTGGAGTAATTCTTTAAAGAATCCACACAATTCATCCAATAAAAATACGTAATTTGACTATTTCTTTAAATATTAAGATAAATGAATTAATAATTTAACAAAACCCCAAAATCAAAATCTGTTTCTATTTTTATTACATATAATTATACTGGATAATTTTACTAAACATTTAAAGAAGAATCAGCACCAATTCCACACAATCTCTCCTGGAAAATAGAAGAGGCAAGAACTCTTTCCAGTTTATCTTATTAATCTAGTATTACCCTAATATAAAAACCAGAACAAGACAGTATACAATTTCATAAATTATTTTATAGTTACAGAAATCAAGATTGTGTGACATAGGCAGAGAAAGGGACATGTAGATCAATGGAACAGAATGGACAGCCCAGAAACAGACTAACATGAATATGCCTAACTAATTTTTGAAAGAGATTCAAAAGCAGTCAGTGGAGGAAACACAGCCTTTGCAAAACACTGCACCGGAACAAATGAACATCGAAAGGCACAAAACTACTTGTCTCAAACTTTACACAAAAATGGACTCAAAATGATCACAGAATGGTATGCAAAATGTTAAACCGTAAAACAATTAGAAAAGTATACGATGAGAGGCTGGGCACGTTGGCTCATGCCTGTAATCCCAGCACTTTGGGAGGCTGAGGCAGGCGGATCACTAGAGGTCAGGAGTTCGTGACCAGTCTGGCCAACATGGTGAAACCCCGTCTCTACTAAAAACACAAAAATTAGCCAGGCGTGGTGACACACGCCCGTAATCCCGGCTACTCGGGAGGCTGAGACAGGAGAATCCCTTGAACCTAGGAGGAAGAGTTTGCAGTGAGCTGAGATCATACCACTGCACTCCAGCCTGGGCAACAGAGAAAGACTTCCTCTCAAAAAAAGAAAAGAAAAGTATAGGATAAGATATTTGAAATCTAGGGACAGCACAATGTTGTTCTTGATTTCAGGAAGAATGTGTCCATTTTATCCCTAACTCAATTTTATATTATTGGTAACTGCTTTGTAATATTCTGTATTGTTGAGAAAATTTCTCTTTATTCCTAGTTTGCTGAGAGTTTTATCACACATGGATATTAGATTCTGCAAAATGCCTTTTTCTACATCCATTGATATAATCAGATTTTCTTCTCAGCCTGTTGAGATGCAGTGGATTATATTAATTGATTTTCCAGTGTTGAACCAGCCTTATGTACTTAGAAAAATACCTCAGTTGATCATGAGTATCATGCATTTTATACATAGTTGGATTCAATTGCTAATATTTTGTTGAATAATTTTGCATTTACGTTCATGAGAAATCTTAGTCTGATTTTCTTATAATATCTTTATCCACTTTTAGTATTAGAGTAATGAAGGCCTCAAAAACCAGTTAAGGTCTACTTTTTTGCTTCTGTTTTCTGGAATTAATTTTGGAGAATTTTTCTTTGACATAGGGTCGCATTCTGTCACCTAAGCTGGAGTGCAGTGGCATGATCATGGCTTACTGCAGCCTCAACCTCCCAGGCTCAGGTGATCCTCCCATCTCAGCCTCCTGAGTAGCTAGGACTACAGGTGCTTGCCACCACGCCAGGCTAATTTTCTTTTCTTTTCTTTTTTTTTTTTTTTTTTTTTGTAGATACGAGTTTTTACCATGTTTCCCAGGCTCATTTTAAACTTCTGGGCTCAAGTGATCTGCCTCCCTCAGCCTCCCAAAGTTCTAGGATTATAGGCATGAGCCACCACACCTGGCTGTCTTGGGCTTTTCTTTGTTAAAAGGTTTTTATTACTACCCCAATCTTTTTATTTGTAATTGGTCTATTCAGGCTTTTTATTTCTTCTTAGAAGTGGTAAATTGTATGTTCCTAGGAATTTATTTATTTCTTCCAGGTTATCAATTTTGTTGGCACAAAATTGTTGATAATTTTATCTGTTATCCTTTTCTATGTGAAGCATCTTTGTAATGTCTTCTCTTTCATTTCTGATTTTATTTGAATCTTCTTTTTCCTTAGCTACTGTAGCTAAGGATTTGAGAATTTTGTTTATTTTTTTGTCAATAAATCATGTCTTAGTTTTGTTGATTTTTCAATAGTTAATTCTCTATTTGATTTATTTCTCCTCTAATATTTATTATTTCCTTCCTTCTGCTAACTTTGAGCTGAGTTTTTTCTTTATTTTCCAGTTTCTTGAGCTGTAAAGTGAGATTTTTTCATTCGAAATCTCTCTTGTTGCTTAATGTAGGCAATTATTGCTATAAAGTTTCCTTTTATTCATGCATTTGCTGTATCCCATAAATTTTAGTAGGTTGTGGTCTTGTTTTTACTCATCTTGAGATATTTCAAAAATTCACTTTTGATTTTCTCTTTGACTGGTGTTTGTTCAAGAATGTGTTAATCAGTTTCCACATATTTGTATTTGTTTTCTCATGGTTATTGAATTTTAATTTCATTCCATTGTGTTTGAAAAAGGTACTTAGTATGATGTTGATTTTCTTAAATTTGTTCACTTATTTTTTGACCTAACGTGATCTATTCTGGAGAATGTTTCATGTGCACTTGAGAAGAAAGTATACTCAGTTGCTGTTGGATGAAATGTTTTACAGATGTCTGTTAAGGCCATTTGGTCCTTAGTGTTGTTCAAGTCCATCCTTTCTGCATTAATTTTCTATCTGGATGTTCCATTTATTACTGAAACTGGAGTATTCAAGTCTTCTGCTATTACTCTATTGCTGTAAATTTCTTCTTTCATATCTGTCAATGTTTGCTTTGCATATTTACGTGT